>NC_000012.12:74126794-74278309 GCF_000001405.40 Homo sapiens | reverse complement strand
CGGACCCACCAGACCCACTGTAAGTTGGATCTGAGCTAAAACTCCATTAATTACCTGACATCCATGAGCCTCTACTTTAACTGGAGGACTGCAACGACATTTTGGGTCCCCTGGAATCAATGTCAGCTCAGAGCCAGTGTTCAGTAGTCCCCAAAATGTCTGATCAATTCCCTTTCTCCATAGCACAGTTACCCTGGGAAAAGGCCACAGGTCTCCTTGGGGAAGAATGGGAGAAAGATTCACTGCATAAATTGTCCATATGTAGTGGAATCCTTCCTCAAGGGGACCTGGCCTCCCCTTCATTCAAGGGATTCTGGGTCTGTAAACTGGCTCAAGTCTGGAAATTGATTGAGGGGCTGTGATCCCCTGTTTTTATAATGCAAATTAGTCTTTTGCTCATTCCACTTAGAAGTTTTCTGTTTGTATAATTTAAGTAGGAATGCTGTAGGCTTCCTATCAATTTCACTTCTAGGAACACTCTGATTAATTAGCCAATGCCAGAGCTCTATGCGAGTCAGATTATTCTGATTGTCGTTTTGCCTCTGCTTTTCATTACTGTAACTACACCCACCTTGCTTTTGATGGTTGAGTGCTGCCACTTGGTCCCTGCCATCTTGGGATCCAATTACTCCCATTGTATTTAAATGTTGTAGTTGAGTGACTGTGGTTCCCACCGTTAGATCTGACATACAGAGAAGAGCAATTACAGGGCTCTTCAAAGATGCAGGTTCTGCCCTCACAAATCTATTTTGCAAGACATTGGTCAAGGCTATATCTTCTAGATTCTCCAAGCTGGGATGAGTAGGCCTAAAGTGACTAATCCACTCCACCATCACAATCTCCCTAAGTCTTTGAATCCCTTCCTCTACATTAACCCAAGGGAGATCAGGCATTTCCAGCTTGCTCACATTGGGCCATCATTTAATCCACATTTCAGCTATCCAAGCAAATAAACTATTAGAACCCTTTTCAACTTCCCAAGCTGCAACATTAAATGCAGAATCCCTACTTAGCGGGCCCAAATCAATAAATTTAGCCTGATCCTACTCTGTTTCTTCCACCATTATCCCATACCTTTAATATCCATTCCCATGGCTGTTCTCCAGATTGCTCTTTATATAAATTAGAGAACTCAAACAGTTTTTTTTAGGGTACTCCACCTCCTCCTGGGTCACACACTCAACCTCACCTCTAGGGGCCCGCTGAGATTTTAGCCTAGTTATAGGTCTAGAAACAAACAGGGGTGTTGGGGATGGATTCTGAGGAGAATCAACATTATCTTGCCTGGCAACTGCCTCAGGGGAGTCATCACTGTTGCCTTAGGCAGCACAGGGTTTATCTCCTCAGACAAATGTGGAGAGGCTGATGGCAGCATGGGTCAGGGAGGGGATGTTGCCACTACTGGGGAGGAGGAAGGTGTTCCTTCTGGCAGAAAAGGTTCATCAAAGTTTACAAACTCAGTGTCCCCACCTTCATCAGGGTCCTCCCACACATCCCCATTACAAGTTGCAGGGTCCCATTCTTTTCCAATCAATGCCCTCATTTTAACAGTAGACACCTGGTAAGGCTGTGCATTCATCTTTTGTTGCAGATCAGCAACTCGCATGATAAAGAGCTTTTGTCTGTTTTTCCACAATTTCAGCTCTTTCTCTACAGGAGATAAAACTCTTAATCAGGGCAATCTTAGCAGTTTTGAGGCTCAGTATCTGCTTCTGAAGCCAGGAGACAGAATCCCTGAGTTCTTCATTTTCTTTCATCACTTTTTCCAGTGAACTTAGGAGCAACCAACCAGCTCCATTATGTTCCTTGTTTCTCCACATATGGTCAAAAGTATTATGTATAGAGTCACTAAACTCTATGCCTCTCATGAGCAGTGAATCAGGAGTGTCAAATGCATTTATTTTGTGTAACTCTCTAAACAGTTCATGCAAAGGACTATCAGTGTTCTTCATAGTATTAGAAGTAGAGTCCTTAGCATTTTGGGTCTAATCATATTAAGCAACCAACTCTAGAAACTCAAACCCAAAAGAACTCAATCCTTAATATTCTTTTCCTCTAGAACCACTCCTGGTACCAAAATCTATTAGTCAGGGTTCTTTTAGAGAAACAGAACTAATAGTGTATATATATATATATATATATACACACACACACACACACACATATGTATTGACTTACATGATTACAAAGTCCCACAATAGGCTGTCTGCAAGCTGAGGAGGAAGGAGAGCCAGTCTAAGTCTCAAAACTGAAGAACTTGGGGTCCAGTGTTCAAGGACAGGAAGGTTCTAGCTCAGGAGAAAGATGTAGGCTGGGGAGCTAGGCCCAGCTCTCTTTTTCACGTTTTTCTGCCTGCTTTATATCCACTGGCAGCTGATTAGATTGTGCCCACCAGATTAAGGGTGGATCTGCCTTCCCTAGCCCACTGACTCAAATATTAATCTCTTTTGGCAACAACCTTAGAAACACATCCGAGATCAATACTTTGTATCCTTCAATCCCATCACGTTGACACTCAGTGTTAACCACCACACTTGATTTTGTACCTGTTGAATATGTTAATTACTGAAAGAGTGTGTTGAAATCTCCAAATGTAATAGTCACATAGTGTGAATTTTTATGTTAAACTTGCTAGGAATTGGGCTATGTTTAATGTTTACTGTGGTTGTAGTTGGCAGTCTTCCAATTGATCTAGTTGTCCTTATTTTTAATATTTCCTGTTTTCTTTTGGGTTTCCTAAGAACTCCTTGAATTGAGTCTTTGTCTTTCAGCAGTTTCAGCTGCAACCCACTATTGTTTATGGCCCCACTGATGTTGTGGAGGTAAAGTTTTGGGAAGGGGAGCATTCTATAATTTTATTATTTATCAGTCTTTTTTTTGTACAACAGAAGTTTAGATTTATTACATATTTATTTCCAAGGTACCTTTGTTATTATGAAAACAGAACTAATACTTGGCCAAAAAAAAAAACCCCAAAAAACAGAAAAAACACCACTTCATAATGTCAGGTTTTCCACTTCCAGGATAAAAGGAAAAAATATCTATTGCAGACACGGAATCAGTCTCCCTTGGGTAAGTATGTGTCACAGATCGACCCAATTCGTGGGCAATCTTTTCCCATCGACCTGGAGTCCCTCCTGGGAACTTAACCATACTTCTTATCAGTTGGCTGAGGTCCTCTTCTGTCCATTCAGGTGCATTTTTTCTTCTGTGTTCAGTTCCTGTTTTCCAACCAATCATCCATTTGTTCCTCAATTTCTTCTATAGAAGTTCCATGATCATAAGAGTGAATCTATATACTTTCTAAAGGTGTGTATATAGGAAATTCAGGTTTTAGTTTTTTAACTTTATTCTGTTTGGAGGCACCATGTCCTTGGACTTTAAACCTTCACAGATATTTTTTAAACTCTCTTTTTCTTCACTTGTGTAAAACAGCCAGGTTAGAAGGGACTAGAATAGGACAGTTAACTTTTCCTCCAGATCAGCTGAGCCCTTTGTTACGAAGAAGACTACAGGATTTTAGGATGGTTACTTTTCCCTTCTGCTGTGGCCATAGGGATCTTTACTGTATTTTCACTGAGATAACTGGTGGGGTTATCTCAGGGGTTCCCCACTGAGGAACTGGTGGGGTTCCTGGAGGTGAAATTCACAAAAGTCTTGAGACCCTCCTGAATCTGCATCACCCAGGAGTTCTCACTCTCATACTGTTATTCCACTCAGCCTTCCACAATCTGTCAAAGTCACCACTGGAATATTACTACTAGGTTATGGCTGCAGTGGCTTCTGTTCCAAGTAAGCAGAGCTCTGCTGTGATTCTCTGAATTCACCTATTTCAAATTTCAGTACTGTAGTTTGCCCTGTGGCCTCAATTCTCTGATGGGTTCAAAACAGCCTTTTATTTTCTGCTTGTTCAGCCTTTTTTTCTTGTTGTAAGCATGGGAATAGTGACTTGCAAGCTCCTTACCCATCAGAGGTGAAACTGGAAGTTCCCAAGTGCTACAACCAGATGAATGTTAATTGGAGGATAGTGGAACGGTATTCAGAAAAATGTCACCACTAAAATAATAAACATACATTTATTTTAGTATACATTGCCAGTATGCATAAAAATATGAAAACCTAATCAAGTAGGCTTAATGTAAATGTCTTCATTAAAATTCTATCATTTAAAAGAGTTAATGGATTTTAAATATCTGGATGATATGTATGTTAAGAAAAGGTATGTTTCTTGTTATTTCTACTGAGACTTCACACTACCATTAAGAGATGCAAAAGAAGTGTGGAAGATGGAATCCAACCATATTTGGAACATTTTCAGGGTGCTTTGTGTCATCTTAGAGTCAGATAACAGGCTGAGTACCTGGCATGAACACGATAATGACTGACCCAGACTGTCATCTTGTGTTCCTGCTTCTATTCTTGCCAACATAGAAAAAGGGATTAAAACTGGCAAATGACAGAGAGATGCCATTGAAAGAGCAGCTAACTTTCATTATGTGGCATATGGATTCATTATTTTTCCTTAAAAGCCTTTTCTTCCTTCTTATACTCATTGCTTTGTGGCCTAAAAAATAGCTGAATTGCTTTGGACCCCTGTTTGAAAGGGCTCAAATAGAATGTGCCTTTTCTAAACAGTAACAATAAAAGTTTTCTTTTTCAAACAACCCTGCAAACAGGATGGCTCACAACTGGCATACTGTGACCTAGTTACTGTTGGTTTCATAAGAATATTCACAATAATAATGCGGCCACCAATTGCAGCTTGCTGAACAGCTAGAAACCAATTCAGGGTCTTCTACAGACCTATCCACATCAGGGCAATCTTGTCCTCCAGGTATTCAAATATATAGATATTCTTATATTGTAAATATTTTTTCTTTGTTCTCTTGCTTCGTATGGAGGGAGATTTCCAAGATTAAATTTGCTGTAAAATTCAAGTTCTTTTTAACTGAGACTATTTTCCTCACTAGTTTCTTCTAAGGGTATGGAGTTTGGGGGGAATCCTAAACAAATGCCAATTTATTTTCTATGTATTTTCAATTCATCAGTAAGGGTAAAATTCTGTGGTTCTTTAAAGAGTGGACAAGTACAGAGGATACTTCCAAGAAAGTCAAAGAATGCATATCATAAAACCACAAAAGTAGTAGTTTTGTTATCAGAAATATTCTACCCTAGTTTGTGCCTTTTAAATTTGTTTTAAAAAAGCAAATATTAGAAACTTCTTTACCATAAGATACTAAAATATAGGATATTACACACAACATTTCAATGTCATTGTTCTATTGTTTTGTAGCAGGACAAGCCACAGACAAAACCCCTCAGACACTGAGTTAAAGAAGGAAGGGCTTTATTTGGCCAGGAAATTCAGCATCACTCAAGTCTCCAACAATCAAGCTCCCCGAGTGAGCAATTCCTGTCCCTCTTAAGGACTCACAACTCTAAGGGGGTCCGCGTTAGAAGGTTGTGATCAATTGAGCAAGCAGGGAGTACGTGACTGGGGGCTACATGCACTGGTAATCAGAACGGAACAGAACAGGACAGGGATCTTCACAGTGCTTTTCTTAATCAAATAACCGATTAGGTCAGGGATCGATCTTTAACTACCAGGCCCAGGGTGTGGCGCCGGGCTCTCTGCTTGTGGATTTCATTTCTGCCTTTTAGTTTTTACTTCTTCTTTCTTTGGAGGGCATAAGACAATATGAGGGGTGGTCTCCTCCCTTATTCCCCTCCTTTGAGAATCTCACTCAGTAGTGGGAGTTCTCACTTTCATTCTCGCTACCCATGTCTTCTTGCCAGACAGATCAATAGTGATTCATATAGTACACTTGTGCTGAAGCATTTTGACGAACTAAGGTAGCAGTGAAGCTTTTTATCATTTGAAGAAGTACAGGTAGCAAACAAGGGAGCAGTAAGCAGGTTCCTATTACTATTGTAACTCCTATTATAAGAGTTTTAAATCCTCCTAGCACTGGGAACCATTTTCCCAACAGGGCCCCAGGATTAAATCCATGCCACACTTGCATGGACACATATGCCAGTTTTGTCATATCTCTATGTCTTCAACTACTTGCCCTTCATCATTTATGTGTAGACAGCAATTAGTAAGGTTAAATTTCCCACAGACCCCTCCTTCAGCTGCTAGCAAGTAGTCTAGAGTAAATCCATTTTGATAGATAGCATTTCTCATCTGAGTTTCTTGCTGGGCCAGAATAGTCAAGGCTTTGCTGGTTTTATTAGTGATTATTTCTAAGACAGCTTGTAACTGTATGATTCGGTTGATCATGTAAATGGGGGTCTGGTACCCCCACGAGCCATCTTGTGCCCAAGTAGCAGGCCCATAATATTGTATGATTCTCTAAGGGGGCCATTCATCATCTTTCCAATTTCCTGTAGCTATGCTTCTCTTTTCGCGGGAAGCATAGACAGGGAAGCCCAGGAGTTCGCCTGTTTTTATGGGCAGTAAGAAGAAATATGGTTTAATAGTGCCAATAACACAACTACCTGCCCGCTGGTCGGGTAATTTGGCATAAGCTCTATGCCTACATATCCAGTATGATCCAGTGGGGACTGTCCAGTCCCGTTGGGACTCCGGGTGGGTCCATATGGTTTGCAACTTGGGAATTTATTAAATAGATTCCTCTCTGTGTGATTTGAACTCCACCAAGTGACTGTTTTTGTGGTACTATTATACAGTTTCTGTCCCAGAAAACTAAGTCGTCCGATGGGATTAGTGAATTATTTTCCTTCTGTAGCTATGCAATATTGTCCAATAATTGAGGCTTTTAGGGCCTAGAAATTATCAGGGTGATTCTTTTGAGCTGGGAATTCATCAGGAACTGAGTCTGTAGGTACTAATTCTCGGGCTTCCCATGGCCATTGATCTCCCATTACAGTTCCTCCACATACATAACATGAAGTGACATTGAGAGACCGGGCCACATGCTTGGCTAATTGCAAAAACAAATTTCTTGTTTTTCCTGGAATTTCTGGTGATGGCACATTTAGTTCATCATAGAAAGTTTGAAACACTGGCTCAGGAGAGCGTTTGTAAACTTCTCCTGGAACTAAGATATTTACTCGAGGATCCAGTCCAGCCCCGTCGATTCCTAAGTTTACATGCTTCCCTTTTTTCCAGCAAGGATCAAGGGCATTGGTTATTACTAGCTCTAAGGGGTACATTATCCCTTAGTACAGGAAGGGCCATTTTTTCCTTTCTGAAGGTGAACTGGATCCTTTTCATTTTTTATCCAAGTGGCCCAGTGACACAAGACCAGTATCCACATTCATTTCCACACAGTCCTAATTCATGACAAATGTACTTATTTTCAGTCATATAGCCTTTTTCCCAACTAAAAGAGCCACACCCCCTTCCTAACTTATTGCTATTAATGACAGCACAGGCATCAAATTTCAAGATTATGCGTTTGGGCACCCCTTTTTCTTCTGTTCTGGCTAATACTTTACTTGTATCATTTATGAGTCCCCACCAGTCTTCAGTCCTTAATCTTATTTCAAAAACTGTGGACATGGGAGGCTCGGAGGGATCATAACACACATCTGGGCAGTCGTTTCCTGGGCTACATACCTTGTACTGAATGTCATTATATAAACATGTTCTTCTTAAAGTTCCTAGGCATTCATAGTAACTATAGAACAGAAAGATTGTTTTAACTTGTTGCCCTACCTCGGTAACCTGATGTATACACTGAGAACAGTCCTCCGTGCGGGGAAAATCAGTGGAAGTTTTTACTATACAAGTCCAAATTATAAGGAAAATGAGTCCCACGATGATCTTCCTCATGCTTCGGCCATGCGTAGAGACCAGTCAGCTTCCGGGTGTGACTGGAGCAGGGCTTTTCATCCTCCTGAGAGTCACTTTGCAGGGGTTGTCCCGGCTCGGTTTTGCCTCCCAGGTTTCAGCAGCTGCAGGTTTCACATGGCTGTGGTGGATCCAGGCTGGGATTCCTTCTACCTTTACAGCCGTGGGGATGGTCAGGATGACGATCTGAGGTCCTTTCCACCATGGCTGCAAAGGGGCTACGTTCCAGTCCTTGATCCACACGTGATCGCCTGGAGAGAAGGGGTGAACTGGGGAGAATAAGCTGATGGGACACCTCTCATTTACCCAAGTTGAGATTGTTTGTGTAATTTTTCCTAAAGCCTGTAGCTGTCACTGTAATTCAATTTCACCTAACTCTCGGGGAGTGCCTGGAAGCCCCTGTAGTATAGGAGGAAGCCTATGATACAGTATTTCATAAGGGGAGTATCTTGTTTTCTTAGAAGGAGTGCATCTAATTTTAAACAATACCAGAGGAAGGGCCTTATCCACTTTAATCCTGTTTCCTGACATACTTTCCCTAAATTATTTTTGATAGTCCAATTTATTTGCTTCACCTTTCTGGAACTCTGAGGTCGGTAGGTGGCATGTAGCTTCCAAGTGATTCCTAATGCCTTTGCTCTCTTCTGTACCAAGTCACCCACAAATGCCGGTCTGTTATCTGAGCTGATTAGTAAGGGCAGTCCAAACCTAGGAATAAGATCTCGGAGAAGCACACGGGTTACCTCATAGGCCTTTTCAGTTCGTGTTGGATAAGCCTCCACCCACCCAGAGTAAGTACACACAAGAACCAGCAAATACTTGTTACCTCCACATTTTGGCATTTCTGTGAAATCCACTTGAAGATCCTCAAAAGGAGCCATTCTGTAAGCTTGTATGCCAGGTGGAAGAGTGGGGCCTCGCCTCGCATTATGCTGTCGGCAAGTAACGCACCGTTGTGCTACTGCTCTGGCAAAGGTTGGCAAGTGTGAGATGTAGAAGTACTAGCCTAACAATTTTTCAAATGACTCTTGACCTAGATGAGTGGTTTCGTGCATGGCCAATATGATTGTGGCTCCCAGCAACTGCGGCACAGCTACTCTCCCATCTGGCAGTCTGATCCATCCTCCTTTTATTATTTGCCTCCCGTCTGCATGGAAGAAGTCTTTTTCTTCTTTAGAATAGGTAGGTACCGGGTCAGGTGTTTGAGGGAGTAAGGGGGCTGCTATCGATGCCCAGTAAGGGGTAGATGCTGCTTTTCGAGCTTCTGAATCAGCTTGAGAGTTTCCTAATGCCACTGAGGTGGAGGCTCGCTGGTTTCCCCTGCAGTGCATGACTGCCACCTTCTGAGGTTTCCACACTGCCTCCAGTAATTGTAGAATTTCTGTTGATATTTTATGTCCTTTCCCCCAGAGTTTAACAGGCCCTTTTCCTTATATAATGCTCCATGCACTTGGAGGGTTGGAAAGTCATTTCGAGAGTCAGTGTAGATGTTTACAGTCTTAACCTTCACTGAGTTCTACAGCCCGAGTTAAAGCAGTGAGCTCAGCCTTCTGGGCTGAAGTGCCCTGTGGCAGCAGTTTGACTTCAATGACAGCATCTAAAGTTACCACCGCATATCCTGCACATCTTTCTCCTTGTGAGTTGATGAAGCTGTTTCCGTCTACGTATGACTCCCAGTCTACTGATGCCCATGGCTGGTCCCGAGGGTCAGGTCTGCTAGAATAGACTGAGTCCAACACCTCTACACAGCTATGCTCGACTGGGCTCTCTGATACTGGGAGCAGGGTGGCGGGATTTAGGGTGTTACAGACTTCAGTGGTTATGTGGGGATTTTCACTTAGCAAGCTTTGGTACTTGGTTAATCTAGCATTTGTTAGCCAATGATGTCCTTTGATATTCATCAAAGTTACCACAGCATGGGGGGGCCTTTATATTCCGGTTTTGCCCAAGGGTTTATCTGCTTGTGCTAACAGGGCTGTTGCTTCCAGGGCCCTTAGACATGGTGGCCAGCCTTTGAAAACCCCATGTAGTTGTTTTGAGAGGCCACTGGCCTTGGCCAGGGCCCCACAGTCTGGATTAAAACTCCAACTGCCATTTTTTCTCTTTCTGGCACACAGATTGTAAAGGGCTTTGTCAAATCTGGTAGTCCTAGGGCTGGGGCCAACATAAGTTTTTCCTTTAACTTACAAAAGGCTTGCTGTTGTAGAGGCCCCCATTCAAAGGGCTCCCAGTCGCCCCCCTTTGTAACCCCATACAAAGGTTTGGCTAGCAGTGCAAAGTTTGGAATCCATAATCTGCAAAACCCCACAGCTCCTAGGAATTCCCTTACTAGCCTTCTGGTTGTAGGTTCTGGTAGGCTGTAGACGACCTGCTTTCTTTCTGATCCCAGGCTGTGCTCCCCTTTCCGAATAGTGAATCCCAGGTAGCGTACCTGCTGTCTGCAGATCTGAGCTTTCTTCTTGGACACCTTATACCCACAGTCCTCCAGGTGCCAAAGCAGGGCATCCGTCCCTTTTGCGCACCAGACTGCTGTGGAGTGTCCCAGCAGAAAGTCGTCCCCGTACGGGAGCAAGACAACCTAGCTCTTTAGCAGGAAACTTTTGCAGGTCTCAAGCCAGGGCCTCCCTGAAGATAGTAGTGGAGTTCTTGAACCCTTGGGGAAGCCAGGTCCAAGTGTACTGAGTAGTGACACCTGACTCCGGATCTTCCCACTGAAAGGCAAACAGCTTCTGGCTCTGGGGAGCTATTCTGATGCTAAAGAAGGCATCTTTTAAGTCCAGACAGGTAAACCAGCTATCCTCAGCCGGCAGCAGCCCTAACAATGTGTAACGGTTAGGAACTGTTGGGTGCAGAGTCACTGTAGCTTAGTTGACCAAGTGCAAGTCCTGTACTGGTCGGTAGTCCTTGGTCCCTGGCTTAGGGACAGGCAGGAGGGGGATGTTCCATGGAGACTGGCAAGGAACTATAATTCCATAGGCTTTCAAGCGCCTGAGATGAACCTGGATTCTTTCAAGAGCTTCTCTGGGAACCGGATACTGCTTTTGTCTAATTGGTTGGGCCCCAGGCTTAACTTCTATGAATACGGGGGATTGGTTGACCGCCAGTCCCGGAGCATTATCCTCTGCCCATACTCAAGGCCATCACTTAGCTAGAGCTGGTTTTATCTCTTGGCCTGGCTCGGTTAGAAAAAGTCTCCATTCTTCTTCCCGGGAGACCATAAGAGCCATGACAACTCCTGTTCCCGGTAACTTTAGCTGTAAAGAGCCCTGTTTTGTAAAGGAGATGGTGGCTCTCAACTTGCTAAGCCAGTCTCTTCCCAGCAAGGGCAAGGGACAGTCAGGCATGTACAAGAACTGGTGAACTATTTCATGTCCCCCCACCAAGCAGGTCCATGGTAGACTGTCTGCTTAGTGGAAACTCCTGTTGCTCCCATTATATCAATGGTTTTCTTGGATAAGGGGGTGGCCGGGATGGTCACTACTGAATGTTCAGCACCAGTATCGACCAAAAACCTAATGTCCTTGCCCCCAATTGTAATCCTGACCATGGGCTCCTTGGGAGTGCTTGAGCCTGGTCCCCTTCAGTCCAATAGCCCTTCAACCAGATTGAACAAAGCTCCATCATCTTTATCTGAGGTCTTTTGTTCCGAATCGCCTTGCTTTTCCTTCAGTTGGGGACACTTATCTTTCCAATATCCTATTTCCTTACAATAGGCACATTGGTTACATTGCAAGCGTGGGCGATTAGACTGGGTATTCTTCCCGGAACCCCCCTTTCCCTCTCCTTTCAGGGGAATTCCCCTAACAGCCGTGGCCAGTAAGTTGGCGTTTCACCTGGCCTGGAGTTCGCCTTCCTTACGGCTTTCTCTGCGGCTTGTTGCATCTCTATTTACAAACACTTGATTGGCTATTTCCAGTGACTGTGAGGTATTCATACCCGCAAACCCAGCCTGTTTCTGCAATTTTCTCCTGATATCTTCTGCACTTTGACTAACTAAAGCCATGTTAATCATGCGCTGATTTTCAGGGCTATCTGGATCAAAAGGAGTGTACATACCGTAAGCCTCACACAGTCTTACATAGAATTGTGCTGGACTCTCCTCTTTTCCTTGGATGACCTCAGAAACCTTATTTACATTTGTAGCCTTTTGAGCCCCTTTCTTTAGACCTTCTATTAATGCCTCACGTTACCGTCTTAGCCTCTCCATGTCTGGTCCCTCATTCGGGTCCCATTGGGGGTCTGTTCCTGGCAGCTGAATTCTTATATATTCTTGGGGATTTTGGTAATTGGCTGGGACGTGCTCCTCTAGCCACTTAGTTGCTGCCGGGAGCACCCTTCGCCTTTCATCTGTATTAAAGAGGTACATGAGCAGCTGGTGGCAATCCTACTTGGGGGCAAGTAGGATTATGAGTCTGTATAATAGTTTGGAGCAAGTCAATTAAAGCTTGAAGCTTTTCGGTGTAAGATGGAGTATTATTTTTCCATTTGAGGAGTTCAGCAGAGGTGAAAGGTTGATACACAAAGGCACGCCTTTCCACCAGGTGTCCATCCTCATCTACCCCAGTATATCGCTGCTCTCTCAGGGGCATTTGGATTCCAGTCTTGGGCCGTAAGCAAGCTGCCAAGGGAGGAGTTTCTCCTGCGGCTTCACTTCCTCTTTTGTCTACTCTGGGTGGTCTAGGAGCGTTGCTATCTGGTGGAGATGTAGGTGCTGTGGGCTCAGGAGTTGGGAGTCCTTCCTCTCGATAGGCGGGGGGGGGGTGCTGCTGGTACCAATTCCTGCCATGATTCTTCTGGTGTTGGGTTGGACAGGACTTTTTGGTGCTGACTTCCCTCGGTGGGTGGAGCACGAACCTTCCTTAACTAACTGTCTCTTTGCTACTAGTACTGTTGCTGCCTGTCTTCTTAACCACTGTGGGGGTCCAAAACTAGCTGTAACCAAGAATCTATATACGGAAACTGATCTGGGTGCCCTGGCTTACAGGTTACCCTGTGCCATACCTTCAAGACAAGGGACCTGTCCAGGCTTCCTTCTGATGGCCAACCCACCTTTAATGCTGGCCAGTCTATCTCACACAAAGTTCTAAGTTTTCCAGGTGTCATAGTAACTCCATAGTCTCCCTTAAATCCCTTTTTGAAATTTTTCAACATAGTTCCTAGTGGGATGGGCTTACTTTGTGCCTGACCCATGTTTTCTCAAGACAAAACACCATGCTCACACCACACATACACCACAAAACAAAGAACAGGTAAAAAGGGCATACACACACTTTTTCAGTTTACACCAAATCAGAATCAGAACCGAAATCAGAGTATCAAGAAGTCCAAGCCAGGTCAAAACTAAAACCAAAGTATCAAGCAATCCAAATCAAGTCAAAAACAAAAAAACAAAGTGTTGGTACGGACATGCCATGAGTGATCAGGCCACGCTTCTGCTCAAATGGAGTAGGCAAGTTCCAAAGACTAGTCTTACCAAGTTTCAGATGTCCAGACTCCAAGTGCCAGTTCCTTCACGGTGTTCAGCCACTGCGTTGATCCTCCACGGGGGCCTGTCAAGCGCTGCTTTGGTGAGGCGTTCCACCGGGGCAATTGCCCACCCGGGAGCGCTCTCAGGATCCGCGTCCTGCGTTGCTCAAGCTGGTGGAGTCCCCCTTGGGGTTGCTCCACAGGGCAGGCCTAAGTCACCTAAGGGGCTGCCTCTACCATCTGTTAATCACCTCGCTTCCTGGTCAGGGAACCAAGAAATGCAGCAGGACAAGCTGCAGACAAGAACCCCTCAGACACCGTGTTAAAGAAGGAAGGGCTTTATTCAGCCAGGAACTTTAGCAAGACTCATGTCTTCAACAACCGAGCTCCCTGAGTGAGCAACTCCTGTCCCTTTTAAGGGTTCACAACTCTAAGGGGGTCTGTGTGAGAGGGTCGTGATCGATTGTGCAACAGGGGGTAGGTACATGACTGGGGGCTGCATGCACTGGTAATTAGAATGGAACAGGACAGGGATCTTCACAGTGCTTTTCTTATGCAAATAACTGATTAGGTCCTGGTCAATCTTTAACTACCAGGCCCAGGATGTGGCGCCGGGCTGCCTGCTTGTGGATTTCATTTCTGCCTTTTAGTTTTTACTTCTTTCTTTGGAGACAGAAATTGGGTATAAGACAATATGAGGGGTGGTCTCCTCCATTGGTTTCTATGTCCTAAAATTTTAATGTTGTCTTCCTTAAACTGTATGCCTTCTTTCTACACACACACACACACACACACACACACACACACACACACGTATGCATGTACCCTGATTCACTTGGCTTTGTTTTTCCAATTCTCTAATTCCAAAATGAGCTACTCTTTACCTAACGGATACAAAGATGCCTGCTAATATATATTAGTGATGAAAAACTTTCAAGCACAAATTTCTATGGACTGAATGTTTGTTTCTGGGGAACCTGGCATGGACAGCATTATGTCAGGTTGTGGAAGTGAAGGTGCCACCCCAGGGGGTCTGGAAAGCAGAGCCATTAAAGCAAAGAGGATTATTCTTGAGGCTTAGGATATCATGGACTTTGCCTTGCTAAGTTTTGAGTTTGTTTGGGAACTCTCACCTCTTCTTTCCTTCCTATTTGTCTCTTTTGGAATGGAAATGTCTATCCTATGCCTCTCCCACCATTGTACTTCTGAAGCACATTACTTTGTTTCACAGCTTCACAGCTGGAGAGCAATTTTACTGCAGGATGAATTTTACCACAAGTCTCATTTGTCCCTGATTTAGATAATATTTAGCTGAGACTTTGGACTTTTAATTTTAGAGTTGATGCTGAAATAACTGAAGACTTTGGGGAATGTTGGGATAGAATCAATGCATTTGGCATGTGAGAAGAATATGAATTCGGGGAGGCTAGGGGTGGAGCGTATGGACTAAATGTATTCTTCTAAAATTCGTATGTTGAAACTCTAATTACCAATGTTATAGTATTTGGAGATGGGGTCTGTGGGAGGTAATTAGGTCACAAGAGCCCTCATGATGGAAGTAGCACCCTTATAAAAACAGACAGGAGAGAGTTTTCTTCCGCTTTCTCTGCTCTCTGCCATGTGAGGATACAAGAAAGTGGACATCTACCAACCATGGAAATAGTCCTGCCTTCACTGGACACTGGATATACCAGTACCTTGATCTTTGATTTTACAGACTCCAGAACTATGAGAAATAAATTTCTCTTATTTAAATAACCCAGTGTATGGTAATTCGTTATAGAAGTCCAAACTGATTAAAATAGAAGTCCTTTTTTTCCTATCTTAATAAATAAAAAGATGCATTTTCTATAAATCGCGGAGTTTTCCAGGACTAATATCGAGTAGATGCGATGAAAAACTATTTTTGAACTGAATAAAGAATATAGTACATCTCAATCTTTTTATACCAGTCTTTCTCATTCTGCTAAGTGTTGTAGTAATTAACAAGCTTGAAGGATTAAGTAAGATGATTGTTACTTTTAACAAATATTTTGGAAAATTTCATGGCACAGAGATTGATTTACTTCAGGCATATCACAGAAATTTCATTCTGAAGGTGTCTCCCTTGGTGAAAAGAAATGTTTGAATACTTTTTTTGAAATTGTGTTTAGAAACAATGTTCATTAATGTTATGGATTCATTCAGTTCTAGGCAGCACTGCTAGGCTTAAATGTCCTCTTGTAGAGGGTTATTCTAGAAAATAGCAGCTTATATTTTCAATTTCTTGACCTTTGACATTTGATATGAGTCATTTTTGACCTGAATGGCATGAGCTATTTTCATTCTGCGTATAGTAATTGTTCTCAGGAACCTGTGACTTAAAACAGAGAATTAACGTTATTAGAGATAGTCTCCTGAAGAAGTAGTTAAGCCTTCTTGAAGGCAAAGCAGGAATATATTTCTTTCTACATTTTTTAGACTTTCCTTGATAATTATCACATTCTATTTAAATTAACTGGATATAACCTAGAATGCTCTAGAAAATAAAACACCAAAAAAATTCAGTGCAAATAGTATGGTTTTGTTAATTCTAACTTAGCATGTCAAAAATTGAAATGTTTGTTATTTATTTATTCGTTGTTCAACAAACATTTGTTGAGCGCCTACATTGTGGGGGACACAGCCTCATGCTTGATTATCCAATATAAGTAAAAAGACAGATTAGGTAGCTATATACAGTGCTCTGTTTCTTTTATGAAGTCTACATAGTATTTCTATAAAGCATAATATTTATTTCTGTGTTGTGAGTAGAGAGGGGTCAACATAGAGAGTTACAGAAAATGTAAGGAATGTAACAAAAGCAGAAAGAAATGACAAGAAGTATTATATAGCTATGATCAGGTAGAAAGAGGGCCTAATGTTCAGTTTCAAAATGATGCAGTGATTATAAATAGTTCCATAGTTGAACTAACATCCTAGACTTGATGCCACCAACCCTATTCGTTGATTCTGGGGAAATCAATTATCTGTGTGAGATCAGGATAATAATTTTAATATGAAGAACCAAACATTAAAATACTAAAGTGAACGGCAAAATTCAGATTGTGTCCTGGGCTTGATAGATGTGGCAGACCAACAGGAGCTAGCATTACTAATTACAAAGTAAAAGATTAAAAGGAAGACTATATAGAGGGTAAAAGCATGATTTATTCCAAAAAGATTGGTATACACTATTGAGGCTAAAGATATTGTATATAAGACATCTCAAATTAAGGAAATACCATGTACAACATAGCAGAAATAAATAAACACATAAGTTTGTACATGTAAAGAGTAAGTTGATATGGATGGACTCCAAGTGAGTAGGAAATATTTAAATTTAAGCTAAAATTCAATCTGAAACCAGATGAGGAATGAATTTAGACTTCATCAGGTTGGTAAATAGAACTGTAATAAGATTATAGCAGAAGTATTGAAGTATCTCAGATAATTTTTTTTAAATAACCTAATAAAAGAACAATAAGGACCATAAAGGGGAGAGACTAAGGCTATCACTTTTAAATAGCATCAGTGATATTATTTTTACCTCTTGGAATTAATTTGATATTAGGAAGGGTCTAAAAGTCTTTTAGAGTAAAAATAAATAATATGATGAGCCATATGATAAAGCTAATAGTAATAGTATTTGAAATATGGAACTTAATTATAGAGTATAATTTTAATGAAATAAAAGTTTTGAATACTTTGTATTTTATGTCTCATATTCATTTAAAAAACCTCTTACTTGCATTTGGGCAATAGCTCTTATACTTAAAGGCTAATATATTTCTGGTTTTGCCTTAATTTTCTTCATGCTAAATAATCATAAATAATAATAATTAAGTTAATCTCTTAATAAATAGATGTATTTTAAATTCATTAGTATTGTCTCTGTTTGAAACTTAACTTAAAATTCCCCACATTCCATATACAAGTATTTCTATATGTAATAAAGTGTAGAGATCCCAATATATCATCATATTATAAAACCAAATTCATTACAATATATAGAAAAATATGTACATATAATATTTTTAAAATTTTCAGGTTATGCTAGCTCAAATTTTTTTTAAAAGCCTTTATTTACTAAAAATCAGTTTTTGTGAATGGAGTTAAAACTGTGTTAGCCACCTATTGTGGGATCTGGCCAGCAGCCCGCAATGCAACGGGGCTCTCTCTTTTTTCCTAGGTGGATCGGCAGGTTGAGAAATAATAGACACACACATGATAGTGAAAGCTGGGTCCAGGGGGGTCACCACCTTCTGGTCCCGCAGTGCCAACAATGCACTGGATATACCAGCATTTATTATTAAGTTTAGCGAGGGCGGGCGTAGGTTAGTGAGGGATTTAGGGTCATTTGATTATGAGGTGAGATGGTCACTTGGGGATGAAGTAATTCTTTAACATAACATTTGTATGTAGAAGTATAGTACATTTGTATGTAGAAGTACAGTATACAGAGATAAGAATTTACAATATAGTGTGTGCATCAGTAATTTCTAACAGAGCCTTAAAACAGAAACACAATCTTTCCATAACCTATGATTAGCAAGATATTAATCAGCAGTAACAATTGCCACAAAAGTTGGTTACAAACAATCCATGGAAACAGGACGTGAAGCTAGACAACCGGTTAGACCAGAAATTCTCAGAAGGGAGTATGCCTTAACCCTAAAGAGGCCTGGAAGAGCCGTGGCAAGATGAGGGCGTTTATAGCCCTATCTTATCCATATGGACAGGTGCCCCCCCATGCGTCTATTTATAGGCTCTCCACAAGGGTCGCATTCCATTCCCAGAGCTATGAACATGTGCTTTTCTGGGATAGGAATCTTGGTGATGTGAAACCTCCCTGACTGCACGTCCATTCATAGGCTCTCTGCAGGGGGAAGCACATCACGCGCTGTTGGCTCGTTCTGGCAGTCCAACCTAGCATTGTCTTTACACAATCCTGCATGCAACTTTGTATTTACAATAATCAGGAGCATTTCATCTTTTATTCTGTAGCAATAGTTTCAGGGGGTCTCCCTACAGCCACCCTCATCTTTTCCCTTCCCCCTATGTAAAGCCAAAATGTAGGCTATGTCTGATATAAACAGTAAGTAAACATGATTTTGAAATGGAAATGGACTTAGAAGTAGATCTGATGCTCTAAGTACCTCTAATCCTGATGCAAATATACCGTTAGTGAATTCTATAGTATATGTAAGGTGAAATTTTTCTCAATAGGGAAATAAAGTAAGAATTTGAAATAAGGTGATGTGAGCTGGTCTAATTTTCCACTCTGTGTCACACATTGATGTCCCTTATAATTCATACCTGGGGGAAAGTACAAGCAAGGCAGGAGAAGTCTGAAACCATGTAAGTCCTACTGTATTAGTGAAAGTGCTGATTAAAGAACATGTTATATTATCAACAAGAAATCATGAGAGCATTAGTGCATAGTTGAGAAGGAAAATAATTTGGCTTAAGAGGATTCGAAATCCCCAGTTTCTAGTTAAGAGTAATTCCAACCACATAGCAAATAAACAAATTCAATAATATTTGAGGTTTATGAATAAAGATAGCCAGAAGGAGAGAAATGACAATGTGATGATACATGCAAAGCTTTGTTTGCAGAGCTTCTGAAAAAAATCTGTTTCAGAAATGTCTCCCAGAGGGGAGAAAAACAAAGCTTGCTGTTGCTGTTAAACTCTTGTGGCTAAATCATTGTTTTGCATTGATTTGTAATGTGTTCCTTTTCCCTAAGAATGCCACATTATTTATTGAAATCATGATATTAGAGTAATTGATACACAGTTAAAGCATTCTAAAAAATAAACTTTGCAAGAATTGTGATTCATTTATCTTTGATTTTATTGGTTTTTGTGTGGGTCATTTATGCATCAATCTTCAATACAGTTTCATTTGCTTTATGCTCATGTATTATTTGTAAAGTTTGTTGATGTTTCACCAATGGTTAACAAATCAATGGAGACAAAGAAAAAGAAAGAAAATTATTATTCTTCCTCCCTTTGGCTGATGTAGTATAGTTTGTCCCAATTATCCCCATGCAATAACAGAAATAGTAATTTATCTCTATCTCAAAGAATTATTCTGAAAATGGAACAGCATAATAATTTAAGTAAAAATGTTTTAATATTATAAAACAATTTGCAAATAAATGATCTATTACTTTTTATTAATATAATAATTACCCTTGATAACCATGCCTTTTTGGACATATAAAAATAAAATAGGGCAATTATAAGTAATTCTGAGAAATCATGGGGAAAAAGGCTACAGAAATTACACAAAAATATATTAAACCTGTATCAAATTTTAGTCTAAAAATTAAAAAATTGAAATATGAGATTTTGCTCAAGGTTAATTACTAGAAATCAACATACAGTAAGTGGTATAAAGCAGAAAGAAATTCTCAGTTGTCCTCCATCTTCGCCCCCTCACTGCATCTTTCATTTTTCAAGGCTGCAAAATGTGAATTTGCTTCAGACACTGCAATTAATGCTGCCAAAAACTTGCAAATATGCCTTTATCCTTATCTTCCCACAGCTTCAAAAGAGAAAAAGGGGCCAGCTTGTAGGTTCAGAGGTAGGGAAGGTGAAAAACAATTTCAAAATTTAGTGAATTTCTTGCTAATAAGGAGTTAATATCAGAATAAAGAATTAATTTAATCTTAAAGTAATACAGTGTGTTTCCTAGTGTGTTTTAAGTAGAATGCAGTGACTAGATACTTGACAGGACAGACAAACCAAAGTTTTACTATTTGAAAAATATGTGATTTCAGCTAAGTTTCTCAAACTCACTTGTCCTGGGAAGAAAATGTGAAAAGAAGTGAGACATTTAGTATATTGCAAGTATAAAGTTGATACCAAGTAATGGCAGTTGAGTTTCTGATTACCATTATTACTACAGATGTCAAATTATATCTTAAAAGTGAATATTTATGGCAGTTACCATAATTTGGTGTGATTGTCCCCCGCAATGTGAGCATTCTGATGTTAGTTAATAGAATATCCTCCCTCTTTCATTGTGAAAAACTTTTAAGTTTATTAGATTGAATATCTTAATGCTAGACCTAGGGAGAACAAACAAAACTTAATAAATGGTATATTCAAACTAGAGTATGATAAATCTAAGTATTTTCTCTCTTTTGTGAGTTATTCAACACTTGCAGTATGGCAGGTTTATCAGTCTGAATAGCCATTATTTACATGAGATGCATTAGAGATTAATTAAATACTTAAGTGAATTGTATTGATTAAATTTATACTACGCCCAGGTTATTTTCAGGATTTGTAAAATAAATTCCCAATCTTAGCTTATTTTGTTATTTGCAAATTACTCCTAAAATAAAATGTAGGAAAATTTCATGAAGGTTGATTATTCTGACCACTACTTGCTTATCATGTCCCTAACATGATAATAATGTCATCAATAATGATCTTGCCTCACCATTTTGCTTTTTGTTATTAAATTTATTAAATATTAATACAATTTAAAATAGTAATGTATTTTCTATTGGCTCCTAAAACTTAAGAGTAACATAATTGAGAATCAAATCTGGAGCATTTTAATTTTTTTTTTTATATTTCTCATATGCTTTTAGTAGATTTCTGTATATATGGCTGGGCTGGATTAAGACAACAGTACCTGCATTTAGTTTCTGTAATAAGTTACAACAAAGTAAACTCATATTTCTGGGCATTAGTGTTTATGGTGCTATAGTAAATAAAATATTAACCTTTAAATAGATGCATTTTACTAACGTTTCTGTCCCAGTTAATGAATGAGATGTATGTTATGACTATAGCACAGCAAAGGATTTACTTTGTGAAAGTCAGAAATCTGAATACACTATGGTTTTTTAATATGTTGTAATACCACTGGCAAGACAAATCTTGGGGTTCCTCTATAACTTAGGTCAATTTGTTGAATTCAATAACAGAGTTATTTAACATTTAGTTAACAGAGTAATTTAACAGAGTTCCTGATACATTTGTAATGTTTAAATAAACATTATTTTCCATTTTATCTCTGTCCTAGGCTGCCTTGCTTTGATGATTAAGATCCTCTTTTTCAAATAGATGTGCTTTTTAGCTCAAGTTCAAAATCTTGCTCATATCACACAAAGTCCAGGCTTTTTGCTAATACAATAATGTTATCTGGATTACTACTTTTCTATGAATCGTCCAAGACCTATGTGTTTATGTACAGTTTAAACTTTTTTAGTAGTTCATACATTTTTGATGAATTCATTTTGCCACACTTCACGATGCTTTATTCTTTATTGTCCCAGTTAATGTTGCTCTATTATTCAGAAGTCCTAAAATAACAATGCATTGCACTACAAGTGGTGCTCCTTGCTTATTAGTTTAATAGCGGAAATTTGCCTTCCATACTTACTTTTTAGACTGTGAGTCAATTTAACAGTTTGGTTATGCCATTTGTAATATTGATATTAGCCAGTCATTTCAGCTGAAATTAAATCTTCATATAAAAACGCAAAGATATATTATTTTAAATTGATTACATTTGCAAGACAGGTATTTTGACATAATTATTTCACTCTAATGCTAGATTAAATTTAGGTTAAGTACTTAAACTCTATGAGATTAATCCAGCTATGCAAATTTATGTAGGCCAGAGGGTTCAGAACTTAAACTATTTAAAGGTATTATAATGTGAAAACCTAAAATTTATAATGAAAGAATGGGGAAGAAAGGCATTCTCAGTGCTGCCAGTATGTCCATAGGCTTTTTGTACTGACTTCCTTCCATGTTCAACATTTTGACCTGTGATTTGTGAAAGACTCATCCCTTTCTGCCTTCAAAGTGCCACTTTTCATGAGTAATTTATTCACGAAGCTCTGGGTCTCTCCTTTTGTAAGTGGAAGAGGAATGAGATGTGATCAGGGAAAGTATGAATACTTAGAGTCTAAGTTAGATAAAAGAAGAAATTAAAGTCAGAGCTGGCCATGGAAAAGAGCTTCTGTTAGTAATAAAAAATAAAATAACAACAAAATCCAAAACAACCTAAAAGAGGGTCTTGAGAATTATGGACTTTAATTTACCATTTTATATATTACTTAAAGTAGGCATCAATATCAGATCATTATTTCAGTTGTGGACAATATATTTATTTATTGACTAGCACCTTACATAAACTTACTGTCAGCTTAAAACTGCCATAAAAGTTCAAATTACTTTTTATGTAGTTTCAGATCTTACTTAGTATAAGTCCCTGAAATATCTGGGATACTGACATGGACTAGTGTCTTTATTCTCCAAGAATTAGGTGAGACACAATTAAAATGTTGCCTTGACTCCTGTTTCTCACATCTCTCAAAATCTTAACCAGCTTTCAAGTTTGAATACAGGTCCTACTTTCATCGTGAATATTTGCCTGAACATTTCAACATACATAATCTTTTTCTCTAAATGCATAAAGCATCTCTTTCTTGCATATACAATTTGGTATTAGACACTACTTCATAAAGTTTAAACAATATTTAAAGACTCTATGTGTTCATATTTTCTTCCTTTTGTCCCCTAAAATATTTCACCTTCTTACATTTCAAAGACTGTGATTCACGCTTCACTTTTGTATACCCAAGTATAACTCTGTAAACAAGACAGGCACTATGTTTTTGAGTTGTGGCTTTGGTGTCAGAAGTTTGACCTCTTCACTTACTGGCTACATGACCTTGGGAAAATCAACTGATATTTCTAATCTTTGTTTTTTATTATGTATATATAATAATAATATTAAATTCATCAGGTTATAGGAATGAAATAAAATACCATATAGGAAATAGTAGTGAAACCATAAAGTACTAGTAAAATTGGATATTGTGACAAAAATTATGGTTGAATGGACAAAAGTTTTTATTCTTTAGAAAGATTTACTTTGGAACAGATATAAGGGATTCTGAGATGCAGACATAGAGCACTTTGATAAATATCACCCAGCTTAATTGTGTTCTACATCTAAATCTTTAAAAAGTCATCAGTTCTGCAGCTTCAGCACTTTTTTTGTTCTGTTTCTGTTTTTCAAAGAAATATGACTGTTTACCATTTCCCTATTTCTCAAAAGCAGATGTAAAGCCAGGATGACACCTGGATGTACCTAGCATAAAAATGTCTAATTTCTCACACTTGTAAGAATTTAGCCTTCCTGTTTAAAAACCCAGGTTCCAAACTTCTCAGTATGACTTTTATTAATATGATTTTAATCATGTAATGGGTAGCAACTTATTGGTTACATTATATAACATTTATTATTATGTATGTATTGATATTTGACAAACTAAAGATGGCTGCAGAAATACAAATCTGCATGTGGGTTCCAAGGTATTTCGTTATGGAAGAAATTATAAGATTAAAATAAGGAAATTTTCTTTGGTTAATGTTGCGGGAAGTAAGGAACCCAGAATGGAGGGACCAGCTGGAGCCGAGGCAGAACATAAATTGTGAAGATTTCATGGACATTTATCAGTTCCCAAAATTAATACTTTTGTAATTTCTTACGCCTGTGTTTACTGCAATCTCTGAACATAAATTGTGAACACTTATCACTTCCCTAATAATACTCTTATAATTTCTTATGCCTGTCTTTACTTTAATCTCTTAATCCTGTTATCTTCATAAGCTGAGAATGTACGTCACCTCAGCATCACTATTGTACAAATGGATTGTAAAACGTGTGTTTGAACAATATGAAATCAGTGCACCCTGAAAAAGAACAGAATAACAGCAATTTTCAGGGAACAAGGGAAGATAACCATAAGGTCTGACTGCCTGCAGGGTTGGGCAGAATAGAGCCATATTTTTCTTCTTGCAGAAAGCCTATAGATGGATGTGCTGGTAGGAGAAATATCGCTGATTTTTTTTCCCAGCAAGGAACAACCCTGGGGAAGGAATGCATTCCTGGGGGTAGGTCTATAAATGGCTGCTCTGCGAGTGTCTGTCTTATGCAGTTGAGATACAGACTGAAATATGCCCTGGTTTCCTGCAGTACCCTCAGGCTTACTAGGATTGGGAAATTCCAGCCTGGTAAATTCGAGTCAGACTGGTTCTCTGCTCTCAAACCCTGTTTCCTGTTAAGATGTTTATCAAGACAATGCTTGCACAGCGGGACATAGACCCTCATCAGTAATTCTAATTTTGCCTTTGCCTTGTGATCTTTATGGCCCTTTGAAGCATGTGATCCTTGTGACCTACTCCATGTTTGTATACCCCCTCCGCTTTTAAAATCCCTAATAAAAACTGTTGGTTTTGAGGCTCGAGGTCATCATCACAGTCCTACCAATATGTGATGACACCCCCGGAGGCCCAGCTGTAAAATTTCTCTCTTTGTACTCTTTCTCTTTATTTCTCAGACCAGCTGACACTTAGGGAAAATAGAAGCTATGGTGAAATATTGGGGGCTGGTTCCCCCGATAGGTTAATTAAGGAGAGAAAGTGGCAAATTCCTCTCCCTTCCTTAGAGTGTCTCCTTGAGAATAATAATAGGCCCAACCTTTTGATTTTATATGGCAAAGTCAAGTTCTTTCTGCACCTTCATATTCATACCTTCAAAATTCACTCAAGAGTCTCTCAAGATGGTGGTCCAAGATGCCATCACAAGTGTAACCATTTGTTTCTCATGGAGATAACAGAAGCTTTGTTTATTTTACTGTATAAATTTATGTGAATTTCTGTCCATACTTTGCAGTCTCTCATGGACTGTCTGCATGTGTATAATTAACATATATACTCAATAATTCTCCATCTCTTCTCTATTGACACAAAGTTGGGGAGGGAGGCATAATTTTCTATTTCCCTAACAGAACCTCTTTGCAGCCACTTCTACCAGAAGTTCAAAGATTTGTCATAGTCAAGAAGATTCTAATCAAGCCTTAGAGGGAATGCAGGAATAAATACAACCTGTAAGTAGAGAGAAATAGGTAGAAACAAGTTGGCCCTATTTTGTATCCAAAAACTCTTGCAAATTTTGAGATGAATCATTTTTGAGTTGGAGAGTGTGCACTCGACCAGACAAGTATGAATTCTGGGATGCACAGGCATAAATACAAAACAATAACACATATTATAGTTCTAATTTGTTCAACAACCACCTTGTTTGAACTTAGAATTAACTACCTGAGATGGGACCTTTACTATTGCTCACATCCTGAGGTACCATTCTTCAAAGGCTGTGGAGAAGTAGAAATCCTGCATGGGAATAGGAGCTTAGACAGCAGCCTGGCCCCCAGCCATATTGCCTGCTCTGTAATCTGGAGAGCAGAGAGTCTAGTACTTCAGCTAAATCTGTCTTCGGTGCCATTGTAAGGTGGCTTTTTCTGGAGCAAGGATACTCTGGTGATGATTGTAAAGTGTCACAACCTCATAGAGGGTCTTCTGAAGTTTTATATTTAAACAGAAGTTTGGATTGACTATAAGCAATAGTATACATGTAATAATATATTAGTAGAAGGAATGTCAATTATAGAAAGTTAATGTATTATTCCCTGATTATTTGGTCTTTAGGATAATCAGTTTGAATACTAGGCACAGGACGTTATTATTCTGCCAGAACAAGAAATTCCATTCAAAGACTTTATAAAATTCTAGTCATTTAAATATCATAATTTATCTGAACAGTTCATATTTTGTAATAAAAAATTTGTATTTGTTAGATAAAATAATGTTTGAGAATTTATAAAAATTGTGATTCTTACATTGTTAGACTAACCTATAAAAAAGCTCCTACCCTGAAAGATTTACCATATAATGCTTGCCAAATTTATACATTTTTAAAATTCTAATTTATAAATAACTATTTTATATGAAAGCTATTAACTAAGGCTATATAGTTATATAATAAAAATATACATTACTTTCAGATCTTGATGATAGATGTCTTTTTATTTTTTAATTTTAATTTAATGTTTTTTTTTTTTTTGGGGACGGAGTCTCGCTCTTGCCCAGGCTAGAGTGCAGTGGTGCTGTCTCGGCTCACTGCAAGCTCCAACTTCTGGGTTCACACCATTCTCCTGCCTCAGCCTCCCTAGTAGCTGGGACTACAGGCACCTGCCACCATGCCTGGCTAATTTTTTGTGTGTGTTTTTAGTAGAGATGGGGTTTCACTCTGTTAACCAGGATGATCTCGATCTCCTGACCTCATGGTCCTCCCATCTCGGCCTCCCAAAGTGGTGGAATTACAGGCGTGAGCCACCATGTCCGGCCGAAGGTATATGTCTTAATGATTCACATCAATTCACAAAACTTGATTAAATAATGAAGTAACTAAGAATTTGCTACTATGAACCTCATGAAATATACATTTCTTTAAGGTTAGAAAGTTGATCACTTAATATCTTTTTTGAAGAAAACATAGCATTTTAGTGTATGGAATAAATATACATAAAAGAAAATGTAGTGAATTATTAAGATTTAATTTAATATTAACAGTCACATTTCACAATAGAAAAAACATTGATTAAATTGTCTAGCATATTATTTTTTAGGTGGTACACATTCTTCTTTATGGTACGGGGATAGTGAAAAAACATTCTAAAATGCAATGTCAGCTTACAGATGCAAAAATCACTAGGTGAGTTTTCATCCACCAACAGATGTATTTGAAGCAGCCTAAGTACAATAGGATTTTTAAAAAAGCTTTCACTCATAAGCTCCATCATGAATAAAATTAAAATACTTTATTGCCTTCATTAGTTTTCTTTCCCCCAAATCTCAAGAATATGCTTTCAATATCATCCATCAGAATCATCTGTGGAGGAAAGGTCACAGATCTAATTCTTCATTCAGGCACAGAGGACATTAACAGCTAATACACAATGTGAGATATCATATATAATAATTAGGGTGTAATTATGTTCATATATTTCCTTGTAGATGTCTTTAGGCACTAGCTGTTCTTCCACTTCAAGAAATCACAGTGGACACTGTTCCTATGGTTACCAGGAAGGATGCATTTATGGAGATAGCTCAAGACCATAAAAGGAGTAAGAAACTAAGCCAAAATTGCCCGCTGGCCTGATAAAGACTTTGTCCAGCACTATTTCTTGGTTATCCTGATGCTAAGACAATTAATGAAACATTTTACATGAATACACTAATTTAATTAATTTTCATTAGACTTTAATCCATTTATTGCTGCAGCTCTAGATTCCTGATAAAATCTTTTTAAAACAAAATAACTTGGGAAAAGAAATCTTTTACTTTAAAAAAAATCATTCTTAAAAAAGTGTTCCCTGAAACATTGCTGAAGTGATAAATGAAATAGTACAGGTAAAGTCAATTAGTATTTAAAATAACAATCCAATGGGAAATAGCAATGTTCTGTGCACAGTTATAGGTACATTTAACTGAACATTGGCCTAATCTTTTTTATTATTCTTATTTTGCTTTTACAATAACAGATTTGAAATAAAACCTCCCTATTTTCACAAAACATCTGCTGAAAGAGAGAGACAGAGAAAGAGATGGAAATTATAACATCTCATGCTCTAATGAAGTGTAAGTAGAATTAGTGGGTGAAATGAAGATTGTAGGAAATTACTAATTTTGTCTAGAGGAAACTGTAATTTGTGAGAAAACTTTGAATCTTTCTCCCTTTTCTGTTTATTAATTTGCATCACAAATATATGATTGGCCAATGCGCCTAAATACTCTTGCTAATTTTGATATAGAAAGCAATAATGTTCAATATGCTAAAGTTTGCAGAATGCAGATGTTTACACATATTTATATACACCTACACAAGCTTACCAGAAAAACTTTTTTAAGTCAAAGGTAAAATATTTAACCATTTTTGTCTAGTTCTCTTTATTTTTAAAATCTCTTTGTTTCTAATACTCTTTGATAGTCTTTGTTTCTAAGATCTAGGTTGAAGCTGATGAAAAACCCAGTTTTTTTTAATTCATATATTTTTGCATGCTTCTCACATTAAGTATCTTAGAGAAACTCAGTTTTCCTCAGTCCAGCAAGCTTGATTCTTGACTGCCGGAGCTGAGAGACACATAGAAAAACAATGGCATTTCATGCAAATTTTCTATTTAAGCAAAGAGAATCCAAAAGCATTCACTTGAACCCTCCATCATGTATTCTGATATATTTTTTAATAAATAAGGTATAATTATTTGTGTTATGTCATCACATATTCCATGGCACACCTGAGAGCAACTTCTGTTAAAGAGCAGTTACCCCATTTTTCACAGAAGATTCTGAAATAATTAAGTTAGTAAATCATCACCTAGTCGGGACATCAGGCTCTGCAGTTACTCTCTTTGATCTTCACCTTAATTATACTTGTGTTGATCCCTGAATATAAAATGTACTGACATGGATGTGCCTTTGACTGCTCTATTCTGGAGATATTTCACAAGCTATTTATAATTTGACGTTTTTATTCTAACTCCCTATATTTCTTTGACGTATATATCCGGGGAGAGGTGTGTGCCATAGACTGCAACCTCCTAGGAGGTAAGCTACTTACAATCAGTTCTCATTGTTCAGTGGCTGTCAAAGTGACATTTAAAAACAAGCAATTAATCAACACTTAGTGTCATGATGAGGATGATTAAGACAAGTATATATTTTGGTTAAAGTATAAATATATGAGGAAGATAGGCAATGCCATTTTTTTCAAATGTACACATACACACACATACACAATAAGAAATGTATTTAATAATACATTTTACCTTATTTTCAAGGCTTATCATGACAGTAACTATTCTTTAAATAATAAGAAGGAGGAAGGTAATATTATGAATTACTACCACCAACAGAAAATAATGCTGTTGATTACCCATTAAAATGGTACAGTAGTATCATTGTCTGTTGGACATATAGATCAGTTTTTTTCTTCTAAATGCTATTTCAACTCTCTATTATTAACATATATATGTATGTGTATATATATGTATGTGTGTATATTTTTATTAGAAAAAATAATCTATTATTCAACTAGATAAAATAAGAGGTAAGAGATAACATAGTAGAACTCAATTATCTACTAAATAAATATTACTCCCATTCTCTGTGGAACACCAACAATATTCTCTTCAGGGAAGTGACACTGACTATTGTAGAAAGAACAAGTTAATGTGAAAAATAATGTTTCAAGTCCTTATTATTTTATTTTCTTAAAGAGTAATCATAGAGGGGGAAGCATAATACTTCATTACCATGTCTGTAGAGGAATGGAAGAGCATATTATGCAAATAAGAAATACAAGGCATTCCTTGAACCATAGTCATCCTTGAGAGAAGTGGAATGTGTCTCAAGTTCTGTTTTATGAAGATATCAACATTTTTGAAAAATATGGAGATGAAAAATAGCAACATAAAAATAAATCTCAGACCTTGACTACTGATTGAATTTTTTCACCTGCTATCCATTATTATTTAATCTGTACATAGAGAAAAAAATCAGCTGAGCTGTCCAGAAACATCTGGATGTTATGATACCCCACAAATATAATAGCCACAGGTAATGAGCCTAAAGATAGGAAAAGCATTACCTGGTTGCTGTTTCAGCCTTCAGCCAATGAATATAAATAAGCTTTCGTTGATCTTTTGTCCTACTAAAATGTAATCCAGTTTATTGAACTGGTGAATTACATTAACCATTTTGACATTATTTCTTTATAAATCTAACATGGTGTCCTTGTTCTGTTCTTCCTCTCCCTGTATTAGAGAAACCACAATAAAACAAAATAATTTTCTTAAGCTCAGTGATTCTAATAATTGATTAAATAATTTCGATAGAAAATTTCATTTATATGTATAACATATATATTTACATATGTAATATATACATTTTGTGTATATTAAATACACATATGTACACATTCTACCTCTCACATATCTTTATGTCTATGCTTATTCCATACAAAATGGTCTGCCTTAGTACGTCTCCCGTAAAATTAAAATGATGATAATGAGATCCACCCCACAGAGTTTTGTAAAAATGATATTAAATAGTATGTATAAAATGCTACATACATAGCAGGTGCTGAGGAAATGTACTCATTGGTATGATTATTGTTGTAGCTATTAGCATATTATAAGAGCATAAAATCTAGAACTAGGATTTATGCTGAGAAATTCACCCACAATTAGGGAGACAGGTTGCATTGAGATTAGGAAGTATGCCCAGACTAAGCAATAGGTTTATCAAAGTAGACAAGTAAAAGCTGAATCTAGATGTTAGTCACTCAAGACTGGGACTTCACTGGAGGAGAAGTGTCTTCAATAAGCACCCTTAATACCTCCCTGCCTCAACTGGAGGTCATTACATTATGTATTTTATATTATATATTCAAGGCCATGTTCTGAGATCTCGATTGTATTTTTTCCTTGGGAATAAGACAACAGGAAACTATATCCACTATGTATTTCCTAGTGGTCAAAATTTCTATTGTCTTTAAGTCCTATGCTTTTATTGGTCTAAGAATGGGGGAAAGTAGGGGAAGGAAGACAGCAAGGGCTGAAAAATCGTTTTGGCTTGCCTGGGAATATGCAGAAATTGACACCAGGTTTTTAACATGGGAAACAAGAAGTATTAATAAAAAATATAATATTAAAAGAATTAACAATGACAGTAAAACTGTAGTTTTTATTTAGCACTATTACAATACACTTGATTCCATCATTTAAAATTACTGCCAGATATACAGTTTTGCATAACTTTCACAACCAGTTGGTAAACTAGCTAGAGTAAATAATACTTTCTTCATTTTACAGATGTGAAAACTGATTTTGAGAAGTAAAGTGATTTATATGTTCTCATATATATGTAAACAATAGGTATAAGGCAGGAAGCTATCTCTTTTACCTTCAAACATAACTTCTTAATATTCTTATATTTCAACTTTATAGATTCATTGATGAAACAAACATTTATAAATAAAGTTCTAGCAACTTCAATGCTCAAATGTGAAATAAATATGTGTGTAGATGTGAATAAGAACATACCATGTAATGTTCAGTAGATACTATTCAGGGTTAGTTTTAAGTCTTCTTTTACTTATTATAATCAAGTCATAAGTGATCATTGTTAATAAAGTTGTTAAAGAAGATAGAAGATAAAGTCATATTATGATATATGTTTGTTGTATTAATTTATCTTATTACAAATATATACCAAATTTTTATCTTAGAAAATAAACTTCAGTGTTGTTTTACTCAGTTTTAATTACTTCAAAAACTACTTTTTGGGTACCCACTCTGTTCTCATCCTGAGGCATCCTATATTTAGTTAAATTACAGCAAAATCTATAAAAACACCAAAGTGATCAAGGAAGGCTTTCAAATGAGTGGCTTAAGTAACTGGGTAGTCTGTACCATTTGCTGAGAAAGAGTAGACTTGGCCCAGATAGTTTCAAAAGGCAGAGAAGGGAGGAAGTCAATAGCTATATTTTTCACACATGGTATTTGAGAATGACACTCAACATGGAAATACAAATATCAGGGAGGTGGATTGGTCACACAAGTCTGGAGTCCAAGGGACCTGGGAGAAACTATAAATCTGGGCCATCAGTATACAGAAGTGAATTTCACTTACACGTGGTAGAGATAAAAATAAGAGTTTGGCCTTGAAACGGCTCTGACAATTAGAAACGGGGTAAGAAAGAAGAGCCTGCAAAAGAGAATAATGAAAACTTGCAGTGGTACAAGAAAAAAATCCTAAGTGTGGCTGAAAACAGGAGAAAAAAATGTTTTAAATATACTGAATTCTGGAAAAAATTGGCATGAGATGTGTAAGACTTGTAAATATTTCATTGGCCTGGTAGGAAACAAATGTATGCTTTGAGAATTTTTTTTGCAAGATTTGTATCAGTCAACGTTTGATCAGAGAATCAGGACTAATTACTAATTACATGAATAAATATTTTTTTCTAGGGATTTGACCTTAGAAAGTGATAGGAACTGATTAGGCTACTGCTATGGTTTGGTTGTGTTCCCACACAAATCTCATCCTGAATTATAATTCCAATAATCCCCACATGTCATGGGAAGGACCCAGTGGGAGGTAATAGAATCATGGGGACAGTTGCCCCCAGGCTGTTCTCATGATAGGGAATGAGTTCTCACAACATCTGATGGTTTTATAAATGGCGTTTCCCCTTTGTTAAGCACTTCTTGCTGCCATCATGTCAAGAAAGACATGTTTGCTTCCCCTTCTTCCATGATCGTAAGTTTCCTTAGGCCTCTCCATCTATGCTGAACTCTGAGTCAATTAAACCTCTTTCCTTTATAAATTAGCCAGTATTGGGTATGTCCTTAGAGCAGTGTGAGAATGGACTAATATAGTAAATTGGTACCAGGAGTGGGGCACTCCTATACAGATACCTGAAAATGTGGAAACAACTTTGGGAATGGCAACAGACAGAGGTTGGATAGTTTAAAGGACTCAGAAGAAGACAGGAAAAGGTGGGAAAGTTTGGAACTTCCTAGAGACTTGCTGAATGGCTTTGACCAAAATGCTGATAGTGGTGTGGACAATGAAGTCCAGTATGAGGTGGTCTCAGATGGAGATGAGGAAATTGTTGGGAATTGGAACAAAGGTGACTCTTGCTATGCTTTAACAAAGAGACTGGTGGCATTTTGCCCCTGCCCTAGAGGTCTATGGAACTTTGAACTTGAGAGAGATGATTTAGGGTATCTGGTGGAAGAAATTTCTAAGCAGCAAAGCATTCAAGAGGCGATGGAGCATAAAAGCTTGGAAGGTTTTCAACCTGACAATGCAGTAGAAAAGAAAATCTCACTTTCTGGGGAGAAATTCAAGCCAGCTGCTGAAATTTGTATAGTAATGAAGAGCCAAACATTAATCACCAAGATAATAGGGAAAATGTCTCCAGAACATGTCAGAGACATTCATGGCAGCCCCTCCCATCACAGGCCCAAGGCCTAGGAGGGAAAATGGTTTTGTGGACCAAGTCTAGGACAGCCCTGCTCTGGGTAGCCTAGGGAGTGGGTGCCCTACATCTCAGCCACTCCAGCTGTAACTAAAAGCGTCCAAGGTACAGCTCAGGCCATTGCTTCAGAGGGTGCAAGCCCCAAGACTTGGCAGCTTCCACATGATGTTGGTCCTGCATGTGACTTGAAGAAACAAGGAAAAACTGAAATCTCCAAGGATAAATGAGCCTTATGCATTCAGGATGATACTGACATTGGTCTCCATTCACCTCTAAGCCTTCAGCTTTCACAATAGGGTAGTACTGCAAGAAAAACTGGAGGGTTTTTTGGTCAATAAACTGAGTGCACTTTGCCAAGTTAAAAATGCACATGACTGAGGAGTCTGTGACCCTTAAGCAGGAGATGAGGCAGGAGCTGGAGTTGCCGTGAGCCCAGCTGCTGTCCATGTCAACCAGGTGAGCCACCAGTAAATGACAAACATGCGTGAGCTATGGTAGCAACTCGTCCCCTCCTCTGTCCTTCCTATACTGAAAAGAACATGACTTCATTTCCATCATCTACATCTTGATGACAGTGCCTCTCATTGTCCAATTAAGCCAGAATCACGCAGGGAAGGAAAATGAGAAAAACTAGTTCTAGTTTAACTAACTCGATAAAATTTTTTCTAAAGGTTGAAAAGTGGGAGATGAGTAGATACATACAGCTCTTCCAAAAGTTTTGCTAAAACAGACAGAATTACAAAGTGAATATTTTGTTTAGTTTTCATAGTTTTTGATATATTTTGGTTCTATAACTTAGTAGATAATGAAGCAATATCATTCTATATAAGATGGTAGGTAGTGGAAAATGATTCAGCAGAAATGGAAAGATTCATGCTGAAGGGAAGAGAAGATAAGAAGAGAAGTAGCAAAGCCCTTGAAAGTAGATGAATAAATGCTATTAACACTGTAGGTCTAGGATATTTCTTTTCAGTCTTTCTTCTTGCTAGGTATTTCTAATGTAATTTAGTGGTTAACAGAACAGATTCGGAGACAGATTGTCTAGCTATAAATCCTGACGCTACTACTTAATAGTTGTGAGGCATCATGAATCTGTGCATCAAATTGCTCTTTTAAAAGTGTCAATACTAGCAGTAGCAACTCATAGGGTCATTGTGAGGAAAAAAAATACTAGTGGTACCCATCCACAGGGTTATTGTAAATACTAAGTAAGTTAATACGTGGGATTCACATAGAACATCACTGGCACTTAGTAAGGGCCTAGCTATTATTTAAATATTTCAGTGCTTATAGTATATATAATTTTTTATCATTTTTGTTTAACATTCTAATGTTAAGATTTTTTATTATTTAAACTTCATTAAAATATTTATTATTTTATAATATTCTAGCATATAGAGCGTAACAAAATAGACTTACCTTTCTCTTTTTCCATGATGGACATTCAAGATTATCAACTGTGGCTGGGCACAGTGACTCATACCTGTAATCCCATCACTTTGGGAGGCCAAAACGGGTGATCACTGGAGGTCAGGAGTTTGAGACCAGCCTGGCCAACATGGTGAAACCCCGTCTCTACTAAAAATACAAATATTAGCCGGGCATGGTGGTGCATGCCTGTAGTCCCAACAGCTTGAGAGGCTGAGGTAAAACAATCACTAGAACCTGGGAGGCAGAGGTTGCAGTGAGCCAAGATTGCGTCACTGCACTCCAGCCTGGGCGACAGAGTAAGATTCTGTCTCATAAATAAATAAATTAATTAAATAAATAAGACATAAATAAATATCAACTGTGCATTCAGAAAGTTTCTAATTTTTTAAAAACACTTCTCTTGGTTTTTTGTTTGCTTTTACACAATGCTATGGTGAACATCTTTAAACACAAAGATATATCCATTTTGATTGTTTTTGTAGAATAAACCACTAGAAGTGGAATTCAGTGAATGATTCCCAGTATTTTTAATGTTTTGTCTTCTGAGTAATGAAGTATATCTAAAAATTAAATTTTAACTTTATTGAAATTAAACATTTTAGCAATGTGTGTTTATCATTTAGTTTTAAATCCACACTAAATACTATTAAATGCTAAAATACCATGGCTTTTCTTCAGCTGCATCTCTGCTAAAATGAACACTGAGCCCTCCATTAAAAAAAAAAAAACTTTCCACAGACATGTAAATTATAGTAATTACAATAGTTTTTCAGCTTCTCTTAGCATTTGCTCTTCTGTATCTGATGTTTACAATTATATATTTTTACCATGAAACTTAAAAACTCACTAAAGTGAGATAATACACATAACTTCTGCACTTCAGTGATTGTCAATGACCATTTTGAATGTGTCACTTGTTATATTTCACAATTAAAACATATGGATAATTTCTTTGTACAGCAATTGCTTTCACTATCATCATAGCTAGTGACAAACCTGCCAAGATAATATTCCCACCTGTCTCTCAAAGGAGAGTTTAATAATCGCCTTTGTGTTGTTAATTTGCCCAAAGTTGATCTCCTCCAGTGTGATTTACCTACTGTTGGTAAATTTGTTAACAACTGTAACTATGTCTTTATTTCCAATGTTAATCAAGGTTTTGTAATGTGGAGTTATGACAAATATTCCTAAACATTTTCTAGATGAATACCCACAAGTCACAAATGTCCACTTGGTTGTTGAAAAAATTACATTGTGAATAAAGTAGAAAAATATATGCCTGCAAAAGGGAAGAATGTTATTCTATATAAGCATAGTCACTAGTAATGCCATAATCACTGTTATTAGAAGCTGCCTCATTTTCTTTGCAATCACCTGTCTTTGAAGTGAAAAGATAGGCTGTTCCTAAGAGACAGAAGCTGAATGAAATGCACTTGATTTTTTCTTTCTACCTTCAGTCTGGTGTTCATATCCATAAGAAAAAGAAAAATTCCTTTTTTTTTTTTTTTTTTTTTGAGACAGTCTTGCTTTGTCGCCCAGGCTGGAGTGCAGTGGCACGATCTCGGCTCACTGCAAGCTCCGCCTCCCGGGTTGACGCCATTCTCCTGCCTCAGGCTCCTGAGTAGCTGGGCCTACAAGCGCCCGCTACCACGCCCGGCTAATTTTTTTTTTTTTTTTTAGTAGAGACGGGGTTTCACTGTGTTAGCCAAGACGGTCTCGATCTCCAGACCTTGTGATCGGCCCGCCTCGGCCTCCCAAAGTGCTGGGATTACAGGCCTGAGCCATCGCGCCCGGCCGAAAAAGTACATTCTCATAAAATTTCACTCTCATGATTTCCTTGACACTACACTCTCTTGTGCCTCTCTAATCTTTTCTCCTTTTTTTCCCTAATATCATCATACTTACTAATAATTAGGCACTTATAATTTTAGAATACTCTATTAAGTACTCCAAATGCATTTCTCCTTTAACTACCTGAATAATACTATTAGATATTTTATTACAGAAAGAAAACTAACTTCCCTCCAGATAGTCATGTTAATAAGAAACAAAGATGCAAATCAAATCCAGGAAGTGTGACTGACTCAGTACTAATGCATTTAACCATTACTGTTAATCTTTTATTCCATCACCAGCTCCTTTTTATTCATATGACTTTTTAAGTGTTTAGTAGGACCTAAGATTCTGTCCTCTGTCATCACCTCACTCTGAACACTCTCCTTCCGTGATTTCCTTCAGATGATTTCAGATTCTATTATGGGTTGAAGGCTACCATATGTTTTTGAACCAATGCAGAATCTGCTTCCAAGATGTAGTTTCTTAGTTTCATCTGCCTGGTGGATACATGTACCAGGAAAGTCCACAAAAAGCTCAGCATCATTGTGCCCATATGTGATTATGTAATTTCTGCAGCTCCAACCTTTCTCTGCCATACTGGTTTCTATCTTGAATTTTCTATCTCTGTGACTGCTTCAATATTCACAACATACTTAAGAAATCCCTTGCCTCTTTCCCACTCCACAGTTCAATTATTTGCTAAGGCCCAGTAATATCAACTCATATAAATCTGAATTTATCTTTGTTTTCTATTCTCAGTGCTGCTAACACACCATTTCCTTTCTTTATTTTCTCTGTAACAGAAAAATCTGTCTTTCTTCCATCTCAAATCCATTCCTTCGGGTAACCTTAGAGTAATTTTTCTATAATATTTTATAACAACCCCCATTATAGTAAAAAGAAATTTGAATTTATTTAAGTAGCATGGAAACTCATAATCTATATTATTCTATATTAGTCAGAGTTCCACAGAGAAACAGAACCACTTGGATATCTATGGATATATGAGGATATGATTATGAGAATTGGCTCACATAATTATGGTGGCCAAGAAGTCCCAAGATATGCCATCTGCAAGCCGGAGAACCAGGAAACCAGTGGTGGAATTCAGTCTGAGTTCACAGGCTGAGAACTGATGGAATAATTGGTATACATCCCAGAGTCTAAAGTCTCCAAAACAAAAGCTCTAATGTCCACAAGCAGAATATGAATGTCCTGGCTCAAGAAGAAAGAGAAAAAGAAAATTCACCTTTCTGCTTTTTTGTTTCGTTCAAGCCCTCAATGGATTAGATTATGCCAGCCCACATTAGTGAGGGAAGATCTTCTTTACTCAGGCTACTGTTTCAAATTCTAATCTCTTCCAGAAACACCCTCACAAGCACACCCAGAAATAATGTTTTACCAACGATCTGGTATCCCTTAGTCCACTCAAATTGACCCATAAAATTAACCATCATAAGTCCAATTCTTGTCAATTTGGCACCCATGAGCATACCCTTAAACCATCCTTAATCTCCAAATAAAGACAATAACAAGGTTATAATTCCATCTACATGATACAAATATTCTGCTTGCCTACAGCTGAAAACTCAGAAGTGGAGATAAAAGTTCTTGAGTAATATTTATTCTTATCTGATGTACCCTAATTTAAATACTATGATGTAAAATTAACAATACCTAAATACTGACATAAAGTCAATACATTTTATGTTACATCATAAGGGATTAAGAAAGATAAGAAAACCAATATATGTGCTTAATATGTGTATATATACACACAAATATATTAATAACAAAATAAAGAGGAAATACAGTTGAGCTTTGAGCAACAGAGGGGTTAGTGCACTTGAAAACCTGCATACAACTTTTGACTCCCAAAAGACCTAAATATTAATAGTCTACTGTTGTCCAGAAACCTTACCAATGACGCAACCAATAAGCACATATTTTGTGGGTTATATGTTCTTACAATAAATCAGGCTAGAAAATCATAAGAGAAAATATATTTACTATTTATTAAGTGGAGGTGTTATCATCAGAAAGGTCTTTATCCTCATTGTCTTCACGTTGAGTATGCTGAGGAGGAGGAGAAAAATTAGGAGTTCTTGTTTTAGCAATGGCAAAAGCAGAAGAGGTGAAGGAGGTGGAAAGGGAGGAAGAAGAGGCAGGCACGCTCAGTGTAAATTTACAGAAATACCTTGTATTTGCTGTCTGACTTTCTTGCTTTTTTCATTTCTCTAAAAATGTTGTTATGTGATACCAAGCCCTCTTCAACTTATTATTTTAGTTTCAATGCCCATATCATAGGAGGGTCCATGTCATGAAAGAAATCAAAAGCAGTCTTGTATAATTAGAATCTTTCTGCCAGATTGTCTAAAGTCAGTTTGTGTTCTGGCACTGTTTTTGAAGCATTCATATTTATCAAATCATCTTCTATAAATTCCTCTGTAGTGGCGTCTATTAGCTCTTAAATTTTTGCAAGATTCATATCTTGAAGCCCTTCAACATCCTAACCCTCACCTTCTTTTCCATATCCACAATCTCTTTCATGATTTCCTTGATTGGCTGTATCATTAATCCCATGAAGTTATGCATGACATCTGGACAGTTTTCTTCACCAGTATTGCATTGAAAGCCTGCTGGCTTTCACAGCTTTTTAAAATATTAACAATGGTATTTTCAATAATCCTTACAAACTTTCATGATATTCTCTATATCAGGCTTCTCTTCCACAGCATTGACAATTCTTCTCATAGAGAACCACGTGTAATGAGCATCAGGGGTCCTTATGACCCTCTGTTCTAGAGGCTAAATTAGAGATGTTGTGTTTGGGGCAAGTAGAACATTTTGACACCTTCACTATTGAACTTCTGGGGTCTGGGTGGCCAGGGGCATTGTCCAATATCAAAATAACTTTAAAAGATAGTACCACACTGGAAAGATATTTCCTAACTTTAGGAACAAATCGTCAATGGAAATAATCCAGAAGAAGGGTTTTCATTGCCTGGGAGCTGTTGTAGCGCATCCAAAAGACTTGCAGCTGATGTTTAATTTTTCCCTTCAAGGGTCAGGGGTTAGCAACTTTATAAAAAGGCAATCCTGATCATCAAGCTGACTACATTTTCACAAACAGTAGAGTTAGCCTATCCTTTCCTGCCTTAAATTCTAGTACTCACTTCTTTTCCTTAATATCAAATGACTTTTGTGGCATGATTTTAAGAAGAGGACATTTTCATCTGCATTAAAAATCTGTTTAGGCCGATATCATTTCTCCTCAATAATTTTCTTAACAGAGTCTGGGAGCTTGTCTGCTGCCTCTTGGTAGGCAGAAGCTGCTTTTCCTGTTACCTTGACATTTTTTAAGCCAAAACATCTCACTAAAACGATCAAACCATCCTTTGCTGGCATTAAATTATCCAACTTTAGATTCTTCATCTTCCTTTTGCTTTAGTTGTCATATAATAACTTCATTTTTTCTTGAATGATATTATAGTCTACTGGTGTGCCTTTCTTATAGGAATTCTGCACCCATATAAAAGCTGCATTTTCAATATGTGATACAAATGTAGTTTACAAAAGCTTTTTTGCACCTGCTGGTGTGACCGCATTGATGACTTCACAAATTTCCTTTTCTTTTTTTTACAATGGTCACTATCCCGAATTCATTTATCTTGAAATGGTGGCAAACCACAGCTGCAGACCTCACTCTTTGGTACATATCAAGCAATTCAACTTTGTCTTGTAATGTCATAATTTTTTTTTCTGCTTCCTGAGAGCACTTTCAGCATCATTTATGGCACTCCCTATTGGTCCCATGGTGTTATTCATGGTTTACAGTATTGCTCCAAACATGGTGAAACATATGTAAGAACTGCAAGAGATCACTTTTTACTGTGATAGGCAATTTATTGAAGAGACAAACTGCAAATTGGAGATGATTAGCATCACAGGTGTTTTAAATGGATACTCAGAATACTTCAGTTCACTGCAATATCAACAGGAGGTGGCTACGAAATTATTACTGTAGTACAGTATTACTACAGTTAATTTTATGCTGTTATGATTTAATACTACAAATTTATTTGTTTACATTTCTCTTGACTGCAATGGCCCCATGTATGATCTATGAATAATATCTGTGATTGTGTACATTTTGATAAAGTTTTACATTTTGATAAAGTTTAATTCTCTTCAATAGATTTGTGTATATTTCATGGTATTAAATGATAAAATTGACTAGTATGTATATATATTTTTGCATTCACAGCATACCTTTTTCAAATTTTTAAATATTTCTGGGCTATGTGGATCAATTTTTTTTCAAAATTTAACCCGTCTCCAAAAAGGTTTTCTAATGTATTTATTGAAAAAAATTTGTACAAGTAGATCCAAAGCATTCAAATCCATATTGTTCAAAGGTCAACCATACCAATGACAACTACACTGCTAGTTTCTATAATGGGTTATGTGGTTGTAAGTGGTATTTATAATTAATTTCTACTACCCATTTTATATTGCTTTGCCTTCAGCTAAAACCTCAACTGGTTGTGGTTCTTGATGTGACAGGGTGAGACAAACCTTCATTTCCGAAGGGTCAAGGCCATTTGTAGTTATGTCTGGGTTGTGTTGTAATTTTCCATTGAACTTAATCACAGCACATGGTAATATAATCATGTGCTGCTTAATGACAGGGATACATTCAGAGAAATTTGTTGTTAGGCAATTTTGCCGTTGTGCAAACATTATATAATGTATTTATGAAAACCTAAATGGCATGGCCTACTGCACACCTAAGCTGTATGGTATAGTCTGTTGCTCCTAGGCTATAAACCTGAACAATATGTTACTGTTCTGAATACTGTAGACAATTGCAACACAATGGTATTTGTGTATCTAAACATAGAAAAGGCATAGTAAAATATAATATTATAAACTTTGGGGATGGTGATCTGTCATTCAGTGAAACATCTTTATGCATTATGTGACCATACTAAGATATGATATGCCCTCACATACGTCCTGTATTCCAGACATACTCTTACTCACCTTTACTGTGGCATAGTAGTAAAATTTCCCCTTGGCAGTAGGATTAATCACCCCAGCCAACATTGTTATTCCTTTCTAAGACTGTTAACTCAGAGGTATGAGAAGCCCAAAGTGGCTGGGTGGCAGTCTAACTTCCAGTTTAATAAAATCATTATTGTACCTTCTAGTGAAAGCATTTCTTCCTCTGGAACTAAGGCCTCTAGGCCAGAAGAGCATAAAGTTGCAAGAACAAGAAGCAAACATTTTGCTAGTGGATGAATAGGTATAATGATGAGTGGTGCCACTCCCATTTCTATCCCTTGATTCCAGAACCATAAATCCTGTCTTTTGGAGAAACAGTACCATATGTTGTACTTTAGTTAAGAACATATACAGCCTTCCGGAGCACATTACCCAAGTCCTGCAAGGTACTGCCATCTGCCTAGAACTGTAAATGAGTCTTCAAAAGGCCATTCCACCATTCCGTCAAGCCAGCTCCTTTAGCGTGTTGGGGAACACGGTAAGATTGGTGAATTGCATGAATATGTGCCTATTGACACACTTATTTGGCTGCTCAATGAGTTTATTTGTCAGAAGCAATGGTGTGTGGAATACTATGATGGTTGGTGCATTAGCTGAATTTGCATAGCCATAAAGGAATACCTGAGACTGGGTAATTTATTAAGAAAAGAGATCTATTTGGGCCACGGTTGTACAAGCTGTACAAGCATGGAAACAGCAACTGCTTGGCTTCCTGTGAGGCCTCAGGAAGCTTTTACGCATAGCAGAAGGTGAAGGGGGAACAGGCACATCACACAGTGAGAGAGGGAACAAAAGAGAGGAGAGGAGATGCTGGGCTTCTTTTAACCACTAGTTCTCTTGTGAACTAATAGAGTGAGAACTCACTCATTACAAGGATGGCACCAAGCCATTTATGGGAAGTCCACTCCCATGACCCAGTCACCTCCCACTAGGCCCATCTTCAACAATGAGGATCACATTTCAACATGAGATTTGGAGGGGAGAAATATCCAAGCCATGTAAGTTGGCAAAGAATTTTGTAAATCCATATATATTTTGGCAGAAGCATTGGTGTAGAGAAGGCAAATCCATATTCAGAGTAAGTGCCTATTGTAGTAAGGACAAAATGCTACCCCTTCCATGATAGAAGTGATCCTCTATAATCTATCGGCCACCAGGTAGCTGGTTGGTCACCCCAAGGAATGATGCGTTATCAGGAGTTACAGCTTGGTCTCTGCTGCTGGGAGATTGGGAAATCAGAGGTGGTTGTAACTAGGCTGGCTTCTGTGAGTGGAAATCTATGTTGCATAGCCCCTGCTTAGCTTCCATCCCTGCCATTATAGCCCATTGTTCATAAGCTCATTGGGTGATGACAGGGGTGGCTGGAGAAAGATTCTGACTGGTGTCCAATAAATGAGTCATCCTGTCCACTTGATTATTAAAATTGACATCTGCTGAAGTCACCCTTTGACCATTAATATAGGACACAAATATCTTCATGTTGTTTTCCCATTAGAGAGGTCTATCCACATGTTTTTCCCAGATTTCTTTGTAACCAATTTTTCATTCATATTCCTTCCAAAATCCCCATTATTCAGTGAAAAAATAGGCTACAGACCATGAATCAGTATAAAATTTCATATCTGGTAATTTCTCCTTCCAAGCAAAGTGCACAGCCATGTGCACTGACCAAAGTTCTGCCCACTGGGAATATTTCCTTTCACCATCGTCATTTAGGAATGTCCCAGAAAGGGGCTGTAGTGCTACAGCTGTTCACTTTGGGTAGTGCCTGCATGTCATGCAGAGCCATCTATTAACCAGGCCTGAATCTTCTCTTCCTCTAAGTATCATAAGGAACTCCCCATTAGGCTGTAGGTACAGGCTGGGAGAGAAAAGGCAGTGTTGTAGAAGTGAGGATCATGGGGATTTGGACCACTTCTTCATGTAACTTACTTGTGCCTTCAGGTCCTGCTCAGCCCAATCACATATATACAACTCTTATTTTCTGAAGCAATGCTACCGTACACACCCAATTTTATGGCTCATTGATTCAGATAACACTGTGTTTATAATTAGCAGCTCAGGTCTTATGGTAACTTGGTGGCATATGGTCAAGCATTCAGTCTCTATTAAATCCCAGGAGCAGGCCGAGATCTGTTTTTTAAAGGAAGGTAGTTATCTATGAATAATGGCAAGGCTTTGCCCCAGAATCCCAAAAGGTGTACTACAGTTCACCTATGAGGACCTACCAAAAACTCCAAACAGAATCCCTACTTGCCACTGATACTTCAAACACCACTGATGTCAAGCACCATTGGATTTGCTGGTTCTTATGGCCCAAGGGGAGAGCAGTTTGCACAACATCCTGGACTTGTTGCAGACCCTTTTCTTGTTCTGGGTTTTGCTCAAAACTATCATTCCATCAATGGACCAGAGTAACATACTTAATGAGGAATATGTTGCCTCCAAAACCCAAATAGGCCCACTGGGCACTGGGGCTTTTTCTTGATTGTAGAATGGCCCCAATGCAACTTGTTCTTCACCATAGAGGGGATACATCAAGGTGCACCATACCACTGGGCCCATAGAAATATCACTGATGGAGAAGGCCCAGAATGTTAGTAGGATTTATATATCATCCTTGGGCACACACATGTCTTCCCAATAAATCTAGAGTAGTTGCTACTTCTTATGCATGAGGTCCAATCAGTATAATGTTATCAATGCAATAGACCAGTGTGATATCTTGTGGAAGAGAAAGGCAATCAAGATCCCTGTGAACTGAATTATGACACAGGGATGGAGAGTTAATACACCCTTGAGGTGAAACAGTGAAGATATATTGCTGACCTGGCCAGCTGAAAGAAAACTGCTTTTGGTGGGCTTTATGGACAATTATAGAAAAAAAAAAACCACATTTGGCAGGTTAGTAACTGCATAACAGGTATCAGGGGAGATGTTAATTTACTCAAGCAATGGAACCACATCTGTTATAGCAGCTGCAGTTGTAGTCACTACTTGGTTAAGCTTACAATAACCTACTGTCATTCTCCAAAATCCATCTGTCTTCTGCACAAGTCAAATAGAATTGAATGGGAATGTATTGGAAATTACTGTCCCTGCATCTAAGTTCTTTATGGTGGAACACATCTCCATAATTTCTCCAGGACTTTGGTATTACTTTTGATTTACTATTTTTGTAGGTAGAGGCAGTTTTATTGACTTCCATTTGGCCTTTTCTACCATATTAACTCTTGCTCCAGGTTGGAGAAAAATATGGGAATTCTGCCAGCTGCTAAGTACTTATATTTTAATGATTCATTCTGAAACTAGGAAAAATAACCACAGTTTGGGTTTGGAGAACCACTGGGCCCACTGTGAGTTGAACATGAGCAGTAATTAGTAATTACTAATTACTAATTAGTCATTGATTACCTAATTTTCATAAGCCCTTAGTCTAAATAGAAGGCCACACTGATGTTTTGAGTCTCTTGAAACCAATTTTATTTCAGATCCAATGTCCAGTAGTCTCAAAAAAGTCTTAATATTTTCTTTTCTTTTTAGTGCACAGTTAACCTGGTAAAAGGACATTGTTCTGTCTGGAGTAGACTGGTGGAAATATTAGCAGTATAAATTTTCAGTGGTGTACTGATGTTTTTCCTTGAGGCATAACTGGCCTCCCTTGCATTCATGGAGTCCTGGGTATGCAAACTGGCTGAAATCTGGGAACTGTTCAAGGGACCTTGACTCTATATTTTAATGAGTTGAATCAAATTTCTGTTCATTGGACCTGTAACTTTACTGCTTATACAGATCAAGTAAGATTTAGTAGACTTCCTATTTATTTTATATCTGAGAACATCATGATTGACTTGCTAACACCATAGATCTGGGCAAGACATACTATTCTGATTGCTCCTTTGACTCTCTTGTCCATTTTGGTAATTATGCCCACTTTGCTTTTGGTGGTTGAGTGCTGTCACTTGGTCTCTGCCACCCTGTGATCCAGTTACTACTACCATTACTATGCTATCAATAGGATTTCCAATTGAGTGGTGGAGGTTCCCACTGTTAGGTCTGCCCTACAGAGAAAAGTAACTACTGAGCTCTTCGAGGATGTTGGGACTCCCCTCACAAATTTATATGTTGAAGTTTTGTTGAAAGATATGTCTTCTCGACTCTCCCAGTGTGGATGAGTCAAGAAGGTCTTAAATGGCAAATTTACTCTAATACTAACATCTCCCTAAGCCTTTGAATCTCTTCCTCTACATTAAACTAAGGAAGATAAGGCATTTCTAATTCACTCGTTGTAGGCTACCTTTTGATCCATGTTTCACCCAAACAAACTGTTAGAGCCTTTTCTAACTCCACGAGCTGAAGAATAAAATGCAGAACTTCTCCTTAATAGGCCCTTATGAATAAATTTATCCAGATCCAACTTTATGTTCCTTTCACCATTTTCACACATCCTTTATATTAATCGCACACATGTTCATCTGGATTTCTGTTTCTGTAAATTAGAAAACTCAAGTAGTTCTTCTGGATTTATAGTCCACACCCTCATGGGTCACACTTTGTACTTCACCTTTAAGAGCCTGCTGAGATTTAGGTCTAGAAGAAAGAGGAGGAAAGTGGATCCTGAGGAAATGAGTATGTCTTTCTTGAAAAGGTAATTACCATTTTTCTCATGCAATGCAGGGTTAATTCTTTCAGATGGAGTTGGAAAGATCAATGCCACTGTTGGGAAAGCAGCTTCTGCTGGGTTTGGGAAGACCACTTTTGCTGGGTATGGGGAGACCTCTTCCAGTGGCAAAGAAGGCTCATTAGATTTTAAGGGCTCATTGTCTCCAGCTTCATCGGGGTCTTCCTACACATCCTCATCCTAACTTACAGTATCTCATTCTTTCCCAATCAATCAATCAATGCTCTCACTTTAACAAGAGACATTGTGTGAGGCTGAAAGTTTAACTTGTGTTGTAATTTAGCCAATGACAGGATAAGGACCTTGAAAATCTAAGGTCCTATATTTGATTTTCAATAATTGCAGTGCTGGGCAGCAGGAGATAAGTCTGTCCCTCAGGGCACACCTAGAAGCTCTTAGGTCATTTATATGGCCCTTGAGCTGCGAATTCAAATTCCTTAAACTCCTCCTTTCTCATCACCACTTTGCCCAGCAACATTAAGAAGAACCAACCAATGTTATTATATATTTTTCACCAAAAATATTTGGAAGCATCATATTCAGAGTTACTTAGCTCTTTGCTTCCTTTAGGTGATTGCTTAGTAGTGTCCAGTGCAGATATTTTGGATATCTGTATAAACAGTTCATATCATAGAGTATCAAGGCTCACTTTATGACTGGAAATAGAGTACTTATAATCTTTAAATGATCACATTACAGAAGAAGTTCTTCAAACCCCAAAACAAATTCAGAAAACTCATACTTAAAATTCTATTCCTCTAAAACGATTTTTGGCACCAAAACCTGTATTATTCAGAGTTCTCCACAGAATCAGTGGGATATATAAATGCTCCTCATCTTACACTGAGGTTTCATTCTGATAAATCCATCACAAATCAAAAATATTATAAGTCAAAAATGCATTTAATGCTGGCAACAGAGCAGATGGTCCCAAACTTATGATGGTCCAACTTACAATTTTTCAACTTTACAGTGGTGTGAAAGCGATATACATTCAGTAGAAACTGTTATCCCATTGTAAGCTGTAAGGAGCTTTTGACTTATGATGGAGTTACATCCTGATAAAACCATCATAAAGTTGAAAAATTATAAGTTGATCCATTGTAAATTGGAGACCGTCTACATATAAATATATGAAGAGATTTATTATGGGAATTGGCTCAGGCAATTACGGAGGATGAGAAGTGCTGTAATATGTTATCTGTAAGTTGGAAAACCAGGAAAGCCAAATGAGAAATTTACTCCAAGTCTGAAGGATTGAGAACCTGGGGAGCCAATAATGTAACTAACCATCAGAGGCCAAAGATCTGCAAAATGGGGGAGCAGGGGGCAAGAGGTACTGGTGTAAATCTTGCAGTCTGAAGGCCAGAGGAGCTGTGATGCCTGCCGACAGGAGAAGATAGATGTTGTGAGTCAAGAAGAGAGAGAGAATTTACTCTTCCTTTTTCTTTCTGTTCTACCCATACCCTCAATGACTTTGATGATGTCTGTCCACATCACTGAGGGCAATCTTCTTTATTCAGTCTATTGATTCAAATGCAAATCTCTTTCAGAAACACCCTCACAGACACACTAAGAAATAATGTTTGACCAGCTGTTTGAGCATCCCTTAGCCCACTCAAGTTGACACCTAAAATTAAAAATCACATATGCCAATATTTCTAACTTTCATTATTTGCTGCTCCTCCAATGGATGTTTTCTTAGTAGGTGAGATTTTCTGTTGTTTCATGCTTTTAACTTAAGCCTAATATGTATTCCATTTTCTTAATGGCTTGCCAACAGGAAAAATTTTTACTGTCTGTTAAGATCAGACTTAATTTTTTTCATTCTTTGTCAAATTCTTCTTGTTACTTTGATTTTTAATTACAATATTAAAAAGTGCTCAAATTTACCGCTTCAAGTGCTATCTTAATTTTTTCTTCATTTTAATTCTTGTTTTCACTATTTTTGACACTACTCTCCTCTCCTTCTAGTCATATTCTAAAGACTTCAAAATATATAACAGTTTTGTTTTAGTAAACTTTTGAGATTTTTATATATGCAATAATTTTAGTTTTACTAAACTTATCAACAGCTCTTATTAAACAAAAATACTCATTTTACCCATCCTCTCCAACACAGTGTTTTGCTGCACTTTTGAAAAATATTTTCTCATTTTTGTTTTAATTAACCTTCTAAAATTAAGTAATAGTAAGCATATTTTATATATGAATATTCTAAGATTTTCCAAAAGCATCCTAGGCCACTTGCCTATTTTTTCAATGAGTTATTTCTATTTCCTATTGAGTTGAAGTGACTATATATAACACAAATTATTATTTTTGGCCTATTATGCATTAAAAACATATTTTCAGCCTGTTTTTATTTTATGGGTTTGTGAAAGATTTTTCTGCATTTTTTCCCATTTTTATATGAGCAAACCTTTTCAAACCTTTTTATGGCTTATAGGCTTATAGATTGTGTCATCCTTAGAAAAGCCTACTCCATTAGAAGACATAAAGAAAAATTATATATTCTTCTAGTACTTTTTCTAGATTCACTTTAACATGTATAAATTATATCCATCTAGAATAAATTTTATAGTAGGGCATGTAGTAGAAATTCATATTTACTCAAATGCCTAGCCAATTTCTCCACCATTATTTGTTTACCTACACATGTTTTTCAACTAATTTTCATAGGTTAAAGCAATTTATGTGTGAGAGGTGATTTTCAGGTTCTCTATTATGCTCCACTGATATGTCAGTCTACTCTATACCAACCATTTATTAACTAGAGCTCTATCATTTGATGTCCAGCTGTACTATTTCCTCTGCCATTATCCCAGTCCTTCTCTTTGACAGATAATTTCCAATTTTTCTTAGATATTTCTTTTTTCATTTCAACTTAAAGAACAGTTTTCTTACTTGATACAGATAAAGCAGTATTACATAAAATATTAATTTAGAAAAAATGACATTTTGAATTATTTAATCCTTCTATCCAATAACAGAATGTGCTTTTACCTTTTATTAAGGTAGTCATCTCTGGATTGTTTTGTTTTGGTTTGGTTTGTATTTTTGTTATTCTGAAAGAGTTTGTAGTAGGGCATTTGATGTATTTAGATTGTCAATTGTAAATATAATATTTGAATCAATTTCTTTACTCACTGATTATTATTGTACTAGCATATATGAAATTTTATATGTTTGTCTAAGTTATTTATAATCAAAGCATATTACTGATTGTACTTATTACTTGATAATTTTTTATATCTATTTGCTGCATTCTATTTTGTAAACATGTATATATAATCAAACTATATAGAAGAAATATAGTTTACTTCCATTTTTTCCAGTCATATACATCTTTTTAAAAATATTTTACAAATATATATGTTACTGTGGAGACACTCTTTTTGAGACATTTAGAATTCTACACTCCATTGTCTTTACTCTTCCTGTTCTTAATATTTATTATCTCTGCTACTCTCAGAAAAGACTTGAGCAGAAAATAAGGGAATAAACAAAAAGCAGTAGCACCTGGTTCATATTTGCTATCACCTCTGTGTCATCCTCATCAGTCATCCTACCTGAAGCGTCATGTGTTCTCAAAAATGCATCAAATGGTAAAAAGAATAAATGGGTAACACAGAAAGACATTGCATATACAGCAAGTCATAGAGAGCAAGATATTTGTTAATATAGTCATGCGTGCATAGTGAGGAATGAGAAATGCATCACTAGGAGATTTCATCATTGTGGAAGCACCATAGAGCATTCTTACACAAACCTAGATGGTAAAGCCTACTACGCACTTAGGCTATATGGTATATATAACCTACTGCTCCAAGGCTATAAACCCATACAGCATGTTACTGTACTGAATATTTTAGCCAATTGTAACACAATGCTAGGTATTTGTGTATCTATACATATCTAAATATAGAAAAGGTACAGTAAAAATATAGTCTAAGAAATAAAAAATGTTACACAATCATAAGGCACTTACCATAAATAGAGCTTGTATGACTGAAGTTGCTCTGGGTGACTCAGTGAGTGGTGAGTGAATGTGAAGGCCAAGGACATCATTGTACACTACTGTAGATTTTATAAACACTGTACACTTAGGCTACATTAAATTCATTAAAAATACCTTTCTTTCTTCAATAAATTAACTTAGCTTACTAAATAAATAACCTAGCTTAATAAATAACTTAGTGTAATGTTTTTACTCTATAAACTTTGTTTTTGTAAACTTTCTGATGCTTTTGTAATAACACAGCTTAAAATGAAAACACACTGTACAGCTGTACAAAAATATTTTCTTTCCTTATATCCTCATTCTATAAGCTTTTACTATATTTAAATGTTTATTTTTATTTTTTCTTTTTAAATATTTTTGTCAAAAATGAAGTCACAAACACCTATATTAGCCTGGGTCTACGCAGGGTCAAGATTATTGTATTAGTCCATTCTCACACTATTATAAAGAAATACCTGAGACAGGGTAATTTATAAATAAAATGGGTTTAACTGGCTCATGGTTCTGCAGGCTGTACAGGAAGCATGGCAGTGTCTGCTTCTGGGAAGGCCTCAGTCTCAGGGAGGTTTTACTTATGATGGAAGTCGAAGTGGGAACAGGCATCTTACGTGGCAGGAGTAGGACCAAGAAAGAGCCAGGGGAAGTGCCACATACTTAAATAACTAGATCTCACTATAACTCACTACTCACATTTATGATGACAGTACCAAGGGTCATGGTGTTAAACCATTCATGAGAAACCACTCCCATGAGACTTGAGCAGGGACACAGATCCAAACCATATTAATCGTCAACATCACTGTCTTCCATCTCCACATCTTGTCCTGCTGGAAGGTCTTGAGACTTGAGCAGGGACACAAATCCAAACCATATCAATCATCAACATCACTGTCTTCCATCTCCACATCTTGTCCTGCTGGAAGGTCTTGAGGAGCAATAACACATATGGAACTGTTATCTTCTGCAATAATACTGCCTTCTTCAGGAGTAACTCCTGAAGGACCTACCTGAGGCTGCTTTACAGCTAACTTTTATTTTTTTTTAAATAAGTAGGACTATACTCTAAAAGATTAAAAGTATAATATAGTAAATACATAAATAACATAGCTGTTTATTGTTATTTATATTTTGTACTGTACATAATTGTATGTGCTATAGTTTTACACAACTGGCAGTGAAATAGGTTTCTTTACACCAGCATCTTCTATACCTGGGTAATGCATTATGTTATGATGTTTATTTGATAGAAATTTTTCAGCTTCATTATAATTTTATGGGACCACCACCATATATGTGGTTTTAAGTTACAAAATCAATCAAAACAAAAACAAATAACATTTCTGTACACCCAATGGCATTCAAGATAAATCAAGAACTCAATCTCATTTAAAATAGTCACACACACAAAATTAGGAATACATTTAACCTAGGAAGTAAAAGATTTCCACAAGAAGAACTACAAAACACTGATGAAATAAATAATAGATGATACAAACAAATAGAAAAACATCCCATGCTCATAGATTGAAAGGATCAATATAGTTAAAATGACTGTCCTGTCCAAAGTAACCTACAGATTCAATGCAATTCCTATCAAAGAGCCAATCTCATTTTTCACAGAATTAGAAAAAAATAATCCTAAAATTCATATGTAATCAAAAAAGAGTGACTAGCCAAAGCAATCCTAAGCAAAAAGAACAAAGGCAGAAGCATCACATGACTTGACTTCAAACTATACCACAAGGCTACAGTAACCAAAGGTGCATGGTACTGGTACAAAAATAGACACATAGATCCATGGAACTGAAAAAATAACCCCAAAATAAATACATATACCTACAATCAACTGACCTTTGACAATGTTAGCAAAAACAACTAATGGAAAGAGGGCACCATACTCAATAAATGGTGCTGGGAATGAAACTGGACTCATATTTCTTACCATATACAAAAAATTAAGTCAAGACGGTTTAAATACCTAAACATAACACCTGAAACTATAAAAATCAAAGAAGAAAACCTAGGAATAAGAATCTACAAGGAACTCAAACAATTCAACAAGAGAAAAGCAAATAACCTCATTACAAAGTAAGCAAAGGACACAAACAGACATTTTTCAAGTTAAAACATACAAGGGGCCAACAAACACATGAAAAATGCTCAATATTACTAATCAAAGAAATGCAAATTAAAACTACAATAAGATAACATCTTATACCAGTCAGAATGGCTATTACTAAAATGTCAAAAAACAACAGATGTTATCAGTGACATGAAGAAAATTGAATGCTTATGTACTGTTGGTGGGGATGGAAATTAGTTCAATCTCTATGGAAAAGAGTATGGAGTTTTCTCAACAAACAAAAAGCAGAGCAACTTTTTGATCTGACATTCCAACTATTTGGTTCCTACCCAAGAGAAAAGAAATAATTATATCAATAAGACACCTGCATTTGTATGTTTATTGCAGTACTATTCAAAATAAAAATGTCATGGAATCAAACTAAGTGTCCAGGAATGTATAATTGAATTTTAAAATGTGGTGTGTGCATACACACACTGACATATATATACACACACATATATATAGATAGACACACACATATGTAAATATAAGTATATATAAAATGAGATTATATCTTTTATATATATACATACATATGAAAGATATTTCATTTTTATATATGAAAATAAAGTATGAAATCCATTATATGTATATAATGTATAAATAATATATTTGATATGTAATATACATATATACATAATATATGTACGTATATATACACATATGTCTTATATATATACATATAATGTATGTGTGTGTATACAGTGGATTACCACTCAGCCCTTAAAAATGAAATTATTTCTTTTACAGAAACATAGATGGAACTAAAAGCCATTATCTTTATTTAAATGGCCCAGAAAAGGAAAGTGAAAACCTTTGTGTTCTTACTTATAAGTGGGAGCTAAACAATGGGTACACATAGACATATAGAGTAAATTAATAGACATTGGAGACTCCAAAAAATAGGACGGTGGAAGGTGAGTGAGGGTGGAAATACTACCTACTGGCTGCAATGTTTACTATTCAGGTGATTCAGGTGATGGGTTCACTAAAAGTCCAGATTTCACCATTATGCAATATACCTATGTAACACAACTTCCCTTGTACCTCTAAATCTATAAACATAAAAAAATTAAAAAATATCATTATTACCATGATAACAACAACAAAAAGATAGCCAACCTTTGGAGATGTAGTACTTGTAAGGGAAAGGGAACACATTCCCTTTGCTCTATGAAGTTTAGCTAAAAATCAACTGACAAAAGGTAGATTAATAAAAGAATCAGTGTACAAAATTTATTAATGTGCACACGTGTGTACAACAGTCATACAAACTATGAGCTCATAGAGAAGCCAGAGGGTTAATGCTTAAATATGCTCTTCATAGGGCATATGACCCAGGCGGCAGCAGACAGACATTAAAGGAAAGTGAGGGCCGGAGCTGTCCAAGAATAAAAGTTGTCTTATTATGCAGATAAAGTCCCCCAGGTAATCTTTTGGAGCTGTCTTCAGAAGAATAAACGAGAAGTGTGTCTGGCCATGGTGACTTCCAATGGCTTCTCTTCTCAGGTGGTTGGTTTTTTCATGTTAGTAAATGAGGCGGCTTAAGACAATTGCATTTTTTGGTTTTTTTTTGGAAAGCATTTTTGGTCAGATAAGAAAATTCCAGAGAGACCACCTCCATGCACGTGGAGAGAAACAAGGTGAGAGAAACCTTGATTCTGAGACAGCTTCTCAGGTCTCTCAGTATGTCAAAGCACCAGTCTTTGAGGGTATCACTTTTTGTGCCTCAGCATACCCAGAGAAAAGAACCACAGTGACTAGAAAAGAAGCAAAATAAGAATTATTTCTCGGGCTAAAACGTGACATAGTAAACGATATCAAAAACCTTATAACATTTTAGCAAAATTTAATGTAATGAGAATGAAAAAATTTGCCAATGCACCAGTCTTTGGGGTATCATTTTCTGAGCCCTATCATTGCCCTGTTTGAAATTTGTTTAGCAGTTTTATTCACTAAAACCTGAGTTGGTGACTATGAAGAGAAAAATCAAGTTAATAACTAAGTGGCAAAGAAGTGTATTAAATCAGTCTCCCTTTTGTGAGAATAAGCCTGTCCAAATAAACAGTTGTATCACATTTAAAGAGATGGCATTGCAAATGGACTTTCAAAGTTACCCCTCTATATAAGATTCACACAAACAAGTCTTAAATAAGAGGTATTTCTATGAAATAAAAGAAAAATAAAAATTACTAACTGGAGTAGTCTATAAACTAATTTGTTTAGAGTCTGGAGGGCAGTCAGTTGAGAAGATTCTTAGATTTCTGTTTGAAGCATCTCCAGTTGCATCAGGCAGGCAGTAGCAACCTGAAAAGTTTTTCTGGTTTATACTTTGCATGTCATAAGGTAGTTTATACATGAGCTTTATCTTGTAGGGTCTTGGGAAGAAGGTAGTTTCAATATCAGTGAGTCCAAGCCAGAAAAATTGGAGAAAAATGTGGAAATGTTAGTTTGGAGACTTACAGCCATGAAAGAATTCTGGATTCAGTTCAAATTTTAGTCTAATAATAAAAATCGAAAACAATTCACAAGGCTTGAATCTAATAACAGGTGCACTATGGTTTTCTTCTGACACACAACTTTTTGTTTTTCCATTCTTCTATTTAAGCCAAAATCATAGTAAGAACAATTTATTTGTAAAATAAGCTGTAGTCCTATTATACTTGGCCTGATTATTTGCATAAAGTGCAGTAAGAACAGTAATTTATCATTTAGGCAGTTTTAAATCCTTTTTTCTGGAACTTTAAAAATAAGGAATCTCAGACTGAACTTCTTAAAAGCCTCCTGAGACTAAAGCCTGTGTCTGTTATTCCTGTGTGAATCAAGTGAGTATCACTCTGTTTAAGATCCCAAAATATTTCAGCCGGTCAGAAAGTGCTGTTCTTTCCTTAAAGCAAGGTCAAGAACTCTGTAAAAAATAGACATGCAAGGTACCAGTCAAGTTTTTTCTTGGGGTTTTTAATTGGCCCCAGAAAAGTAAACCTCAGTCTCTCAAAGCAGTCTGGCCATATTTGAAATTATAACATTCCAGTTGATATAGTTTGAATATGTGTCCCTGCCCAAATCTCATATTGAAATGTAATCCTCAATGTTGGATATAGGGCCTGGTGGGAGGTGGTGATTGGATCATGAGGGTGAGTTTTTCATGAATGGTTTAGCACCATCCCTCTTGGTACTGTCCTCCTTGTAGTGAGTGAGTTCTCGTGAGGTCTGCTCATTGAAAAGTATGTAACACCTCCCCCTCACCCCTACTCACTTGCTCCTGCTCTGGCCATATAAAGTGCCTGCTCTCCCTTTGCCCTCTGCCATGATTGTAAGTATACTGAGGCCTCCCCAGAAGCCAAGCAGTTGTCAGCATCATGCTTCCTACATAACCTAAGAACTATGTGCCAATTAAACCTCTTTTTCTTATAAATTGCCTAGTCTCAGGTATTTCTTTATAGCAATGCAAGAACAGACTGATACACCACTCAAATTCTTAGTAAAATAACCAGTGCCTCTAATTGTTTCCTGTTGCAAAAGAAAACAGATTCTTATTAAACTTATGCCAACAACTGTATTGCTATAAAATAAGAATAATCATGAATAGTTTTGAATTCTGGAGGGATCCAATAGAGAGAAAAGTAAATATTTCCATTTTGCATGTTACCTAATTGCTGCAAGCTATAAGTAGCTTAAAAAAAATTGGTTCTGAGAAACAAAAATAATCAGCAATGTTTCAAATTTAAAAAGTAAAAAAAGTAATTTGAGTCCTTCATCAGTTTAGTCCCATGTAGTTAATTCTAGTTCTGCTTGATGTTAAGTTAGCAATTTTGTAAGTCTAGTTTTCTATCATTGATGTGTAATTTGGGGAAGCCCAACAAACAATTTTTGCAGTTTTAGCATATGGAAAAATCAAGCAAGTATAAAATATCACAGGAGCAACAGTTTTATGACCTTAACATCTAGCATTGGGAAGATAAATTTGCCTGACCAATAGACTTAGGCAAAAATGTCTAAATTAAATTCTGAAGACATTTCTATTTTATTTTGCCAACAATTTTAAAACTAGCTTTATTTATCAAATATTATCTCAGATCACATAGAAATATCACACACACATGACACATATAGACATACAGACATGAACAGGAGCAGATCTTATAACTTTCAGTAAGATTCTTCATTTGCTGGCTTATAGTTTGTCTTTTCCATTCAGACCATCAATCTTCTTATTACCTGTTCCATTGCCCCAAACAGTTGTTAGCTAGGCGATCATAAATTTATACTTTTAATGGGACGATTCTTACATAAAAAAGTAGAACATTTATATCCATTTAAATCTCAAAGACACAGAATTTAGATCTAAATGTCAGAATGTTGTACTTTGGAAACAAGTTTATTTCAGTAGGTGGCTTTTTAATTTATTTATTAACTGGATTACTGAGTTCAGGGCAGAGTCCATTAACAAATAGGGCTGAAGTCCCTCATGACTCTTGGGGCTCCACTTGAAAGACGGTTGACCCCGAAAGGGGCCAGTGGTGCCTTGGGTATATTCCTTAAGGAGACTCAGAATCACTAGAAGTGATTCTCTAGAACCCTTCATGTGATAACCAGAAGTGTGTGTGTGTGTGTGTGTGTGTGTGTGTGTGCGTGCGCGTTTGTGTGTGTAAGTAATTCTCCATTCACTGCTCATCAAAGGGAGGAGGTAGAGGCTTGAAGGAAAACATATCAATGATTAAAGACAACTGGATGGAACTATGAAGGTGGACAAAAAGGAGTAGAAGCAGATGCAACAAGTCTTAAAGGAGTCAGTTTGGGGAGATTTCAATCTTCCTAAAAAGACCAATAAAATGTTATGTTTTTCTCAGTAAAAATTTTCCAATAAGAAAGAAAGCAGAGACCAAACATATAATTTTTTATAAAAAGTGTTTCAGTTGACTAAAAAGAGTCCCCAGAGGAGAAACAGGATTCAAAAAAGGCAGAAACATCTCTAAAAGAATATATATATATAGCCTGAATATCAGCTTTTATTTAAGCCAATTTCTGACCATAAACCTCTTTAAAAAATCTTTTTTTTTTTCAAATTTCTTATTATCAGGCTTCAGCCAGGGCACACAGCCAATATTCCTGCATTTTAACCTTTTTTTCTCCTTTTCTCCTTTCTTTTAAACTAAAGATATTTATATTTACCAAGTAACTCAGAATGGAAACCAATAAGCCTTTTATTATTTAACCAAGGTCTTGTGAGCATCTCCAAAGTGATGCAAAGAAGCAGTCCTCACAAGATCCAAAGCCACTCCCAAAGGCAGCTAAAAGAAAAAGAAACTTAGCAATGAACAGGAAAAGAATGGCTGCTTATGGAAGGGAGAAAGATCAATAATAAATGGATGCCCTCAAAAGTCGAATCACACAAATATAAACTCAAAACAAATAATTCAAACTCATTCTTATAAATATTTCTTTTTTTGTCAAGGTAAAGTATGACATCTTCAAGTGGTTGGTTCTCTGATGGAAATTGAGCTTGTGCCATGGTGTGTCAATGAATGCATGGAACCCTAGCCACTAGACTTCAGGGTAGAGTGCCTTTTTTGCCAAATCTTGCAGGGTATACAAGCAGGCAGTTTGAGTGTACAAAGGATTTTAACTTTAAATCCTTTGTTTAACATCTGATTTCTGCCTTAAAAAAATACCTCCCAAGAAATTTTTTAAGGCTATATTTTTGGGGTATTTTCTTAAAATTTGATTTCTGCCTTTAAAAAAAATCTTCCAAGAGATTTTTTCATGCTATATTTTTGCTGTACTTTTTAAATATAGTTTAAGTTCTGTGATACATGTGCAGAATGTGTAGGTTTGTTACATAGGTATACACATGCCATGGTGGTTTGCTGCACCCATCAACCCATCACCTACATTAGGTATTTTTCCTAATGCTATCCTTCCCCTAGCCCCCTGCCCCCTGACAGGTCCCGGTGTGTGATATTTCCCACCATGCGTCCATGTGTTCTCATTGTTCAACTCCCACTTCTGAGTGAGAACATGCGGTGTTTGATTTTCTGTTCCTACGTTAGTTTGCTGAGAATGATGGTTTCCAGCTTCATCCATATCCCTGCAAAGGATATGAACTCATCATCCTTTTTTATGGCTGCATAGTATTCCGTGGTGTATATGTGCCACATTTTCTTTATCCATTGATGGGCATTTGGGTTGGTTCCAAGTCTTTGCTTTTGTGAACAGTGCTGCAATAAACATATATGTGCATGTGTCTTTATAGTAGAGTGATTTATAATCCTTTGGTTGTATACCCAGTAATGGGATTGCTGGGTCATACTGAATGGGGAATAGCTGGAAGCATTCCCTTTGAAAACTGGCACAAGAAAAGGTTGCCTTCTCTCACCATGCCTATTCAACGTAGTATTGGAAGTTCTGGCCAGGGCAATTAGGCAAGAGGAAGAAATAAAGGGTACTCAGATAGGAAGAGAGGAAGTCAAATTGTCCCTGTTTGCAGATGACATGATTGTATATTTAGAAAACTCCATCGTCTCAGCCTAAAATCTCCTTAAGCTAATAAGCAGCTTCAGCAAAGTCTCAGAATACAAAATCAGTGTGCAAAAATCACAAACATTCCTATACACCAATAATAGACAGCCAAATAATGAATGAACTCCCATTCACAATTGCTACAAAGAGAATAAAATACCTAGAAATACAACTTACAAAGGATGTGAACAACCTCTTCAAGGTGAACTACAAACCACTGCTCAAGGAAATAAGAGAGGACACAAACAAATGGAAAAACATTCCATGCTCATGGATAGGAAGAATCGATATCATCAAAATGACCATACTGCCCAAAGTAATTTATAGATTCAATGCTATCACCATCAAGCTACCATTGGCTTTCTTCACAGAATTAGAAAAAAACTACTTTAAATTTCATATGGAACCAAAAAAGAGCTCGTATAGCCAAGATAATCCTAAGCAAAAAGAATAAAGCTGTAGGCCTCACGCTACCTGACTTCAAACTATACTACAAGGCTACAGTAACCAAAACAGCATGGTACTGGTACCAAAACAGATATATAGACCAATGGAAGAGCACAGAGGACTCAGAAATAATGCCACACATCTACAACCATATGATCTTTGACAAACCTGACAAAAAGAAGCAATGGGCAAAGGATTCCCTATTTAATAAATGGTGTTGGGAAAACTGGCTAGCCATATGCAGAAAACTGAAACTGGACTCCTTCCTTACACCTGATACAAAAATTAACTCAGGATGGATTAAAGACTTAAACATAAGACCTAAAACCATAAAAACCCTAGAAGAAAACCTTTGTTGTACTTTTTATAGAAACAAATAAGTGAGTTGTTTAAGACGAGAGCCCTCTAAAAAAGTTTTCTTTTAAATATAACCAATTTACTTATTCCATAAGTGACTCAAATCAATAAGCCTTTTTCACAGTAAGTCCCAGGGGTAACATTGCAGGTTTAGCGTACACCATGGATGTAAGGGGCATTTAAAAAATGGGCACATAAAAGGTATCCCCTCATGATTCCTCACAAATTCACTCCCAGGAATAGGCTAAGATAGCAAAAGACTCTTGTTGCCATGGACAGATAAGGACAGTGTTTGTGCATATGCTGTCTCCACTATCTCACATATTTGTTGGGGGCTGCCAGTCACAGACTTATTAATTTATGACACTGAGTAGGTCCTCCTGGGTCGAAACTGTCTTAGGCTAACTGGGCAACAAAGGTTGAAACAGCAAAAGCCCCTAATAGGTGGGAGCTCTTATTAAGACAAACTCCCTTGAGAGTTTCACACATAGAAAACTAAGAGAAAAAAATATGTGCCTTTTAATATCTTACGTGACTCAGGTTCCCAGATCTTTCACATTGGCCACCGGAAATGACCCAAAAAATCATATTCTCACCCCGATGGTGGATACCAAGAGAGTTTACTCTCACTTGGTCACAGTCAAGCTCTCAAGAACATAAAAGATGAGAAGGAATCTTCATGACAAATGAGACAGAAAGACAAGGAAAATAATAAAGACTCTCTGGTAAGAAAAGGATCAGACAATATGAATATTCAGATAAAAAAATACATCATAGTTGCTATACCTAAGACTAGTCTAAATAAATGCTTTTCTCCCATTAATATTAAATGTGAAAAAGAAAAAAAAAAAGAGGCAAACCGTGATTTCACCATTCAGTTGATGGGATTCCAAAGACAGACAACCAGAAATCTGGCTGATAACAAATTCTTATACTTCTGCCGGTTCGCTAAGTTCTAGGTTCCCTTGACTGCAGCTTACAAAAGAGAGAGGAGTTTTGTTTATTCGACTCACATCACCAAAACTGTAGGGGCCAAGAGGAAAGTTTTCCTTCCCCCTCTGAAGGGTAACTAAAAAATCAACTAGCAAAAAACAGATTAATAGCAGAAAAGATGTACAAAGTCTATCAACCTGCCCATGTATGCACAGGAGTTGCACAAAATATGAACTCAGAGAGGGGTCAGATGGTTACTGCTTAAATACTCTTTCATAGTGGAGAAATGTATATATCTTGGAATCATTACAGGAAGGTGAGAGGCAGAGCTGCACAGGAACAAAAGCCTTATGCAGATTAAGTTTCCCAGGTAATTTCTTAAAGCTGCTCTCAGAAGAATAGATGGAAAGTCTCTGGCCATGGGGATAACTCCTAGTCTCTTCTCAGGTAATTGACCTTTCCTGGTTATTTTATGAGATCTCTAAAGACAGTTAGGACAATTGCTTGTCTTCTGGATAGCTTTCTGGGTCAGGTAAGAAAACTCCGGAGAAAGTCCCTCCCTGCCCTTAGGGGAAGAATGAGACAGGGTTAGAGGAAACTTGATTCTGAGGCAGCTTCTAAGGCTTCTCAATATCAAAGTGCCAGTTTTTGGAAATATCACTTTCTGAACCCCAACATACTCAGAGAAAGAAACAATAGTGACCAGAATAGAAGCAAAAATCAGAAATACATCCCAGGGTAAAACATGACCTAATTAAAAGAAATTATAACATTCCAGGGAAATCCAATGTAAAGAGAAGCAAAAAAGAGAAAAAAAGAAAAATGAATAAAATATGTACAAAGGAGAAGAAAAACTTTCAAAACATTTTGGCTTAACAGAAAATCTTACCTATTTATTTAAAAAGTAAAAAATAGGGTTGCCTCAGATTTTCCTTCACAATGCCAAAACTAGAAGACAATTCTCTGGATGATTTAATCAGAGACTCTAAAATGGTAATTCATCCTGTGATAAATCCAATCTAGTGCATCTGATGCAATCAATGTCTACTATTTCTATACCTCTCACTTTGAGATATCAAAGTAAAAGAATATTTGTGAAATAACTTGTTTCATCAAATAACTTGGACCTGTGGTACACAAAAACCCTAATTTTATATATAACAAAGTTCATTTTTTTCTCCTATAGGCTTCGTTTGTGATCTCAGTAGATGAAAATAGACCAGATATAAGGATCACTCATCTACCTCCCCTTGAAGTTCATCTTTTAAAATTCATCATGGTGTTTCTTCCCTAAGATATCTTCTAGTTGGAAAGGATTTTCAATTTAACTGGATAGACAATCTTGAGAATCTTTGATAGAAAGGGGGCACTCAGAGCAACTAATGTAGTTAGAATGAATACATAAACTGACTCAATAAATACATAAACATGGGATAGTGAAATGTCTTCTAAATTCAGTGATTACATTTATTGGTTAATCTTCTTTGGGTTCTGAGCTACTTATATGTAATAAAAACATCACAAAATTAACAAATACAATTCTTAGTTCTTCATTTATATATGAAGAACTGAATACTGAATGACCCTGTCTTGATTTTGATCTCAACTGATTCCCAGAGTTTTTCCTGAACTTTTCTTACTTCACAATCAGCAGCCTGAATATATTGTGACTAAAACTGCCCTTAAGTATTTCTTATTCAAGCTTACTTCCATAATATCAACCTAGAATGTCTTCAATTAGCTTTTCCCACCTTTCTTACTGTTAAAATTAGAACACCAACTTTCCCACCTCTAACACTACTCTATCTCATTAGCAAAGATATTTGAGGCTTAATTGAGTATAGGAGTATCATGTTTTATGGTGCTTCACTGTATTGACTTTTGCAGATATTGCATTTTTTACCAATCAGAGGTTAGTGGCATCCCTTGTTAAACAGATCTGTCAGCACCATTTTTTCAACAGCATGTGCTCACTTCATGCCTCTGTGTCACATTTTGGTAATTCTGTAATATTTCAAACTTTTAAATTATTATATTTGTTATGATGATTTGTGATCAGTGTTCTTTGATGTCACTATTGTGATTGTTTTGGAGCACCACAAATGGTACCTGTATAAGACAAATAACTTAATTGATAAATGTGTGTGTTCTGACTTTTCATCAGGTGGCTATTCCCACATTTCTCTCCCTCTTTTCCTCTTCTCAGACCTTGCTATTCCCTGAGACACAACAATATTGAAATTAGAGCAATAAATAACCCTACAATAGCCTCTATGTGTTCAAATGAAAAAAAGACTCAAACATCTCCCACTCTAAATCAAAAACTAGAAATAATTCAGCTTAGTGAGGAAGGCAGGTCAAAAGCTTGGACAGGCTGAGAGCTAGGTGTTTTGCACTAAACACTTAGACAATATGTGAATGCAAAAAAAATTCTTGAAGAAAATTAAAAATATGACTCCAGTGAACAGATGAATGATAAGAAAGGAAAGCAGCTTTATCACATATAGGAAAGAAGTTTTAGTGGCCTAGATAGATTATCAAGCCAGCAGCAGCATTCCCTTAAGCCAAAGCCTAATCTAAAGCAATACTCAAGCTCTCTTCAATTTTATGAAGGCTACAAGAGGTGAGTAAGCTGCAGAAGAAAAGTGTGAAGCTAGCAGAGATTGATTCATGAGGTTGAAGGAGAGAAGCTATCTCTATAACATAAAAGCACAAGGTGAAGCAGCAAGTGTTGATGGAGAAGCTGTAGCAAGTTATCCAGAAGATCTAGCTAAGAAGGCTGATGAAGGTGGCAACACGAAACAACAGATTTTCAGTGTAGATGATACAGCTTTATATTGAAAGATGATGCCATCTAGGATTTGTAGCTAGAGAGAAGTCAGTGCTTGGCTTGAAGGCTTCAGATGACAGGCTAACTCTCCTTAGGGGCTAATGCAACTAGTGACTTCAGATTGAAACCAATGCTTATTTACCATATTAAAAATCCTAAAGCCCTTCAGAATTATGCTAAATCTACTCTACCTGTTCTCTATAAATGGGACAACAAAGTTTAGATGACAGCTCAAATGTTTTCAGCATGGTTTGCTGAACATTTAAGTTCACTGTTTAGACCTACTCTTCCAAAATAATATTCCTTTCAAAATATTATTGCTCTTTGACAATGCACCTGGTCACCAAGAGCACTGATGGAGAAGTACAAAGAGATTAATGTTTTCATGACTGCTAACAAAACATTCTATTGGCAGCCCATGGATCAAAGAGTAATTTTGGCTTTCAAGTCTTTTTATTTAAGAAATACATTTTGTAAGGCTATAGCTGTCACAGATAGTTATTTCTCTGACAGATCTGTGCTAAGTAAATTGAAAATCTTCTGGAAAGGATTCACCATTCTAGATGCCATGAAAAATATTCAGGATTCAAAATATCAACATTAAGAGGAGTTTGGAAGAAGTTGATTCCAACTTTCATGGATAACTTGGAGGGGTTCAAAACTCAGTGGAGAAAGCAACTGCAGATGTAGAAATAGCAAAAGAACTAGAAATAGAAGTGGTGCCTGAAGTTGTGACTGAATTGCTGCAATCTCATGATAAAACTTAAACAGATGAGGAGTTGCATATTTTAGATAAACAAAGAAAGTTTCTTGAGATGGGCTCTACTTCTGGTAAAGATGGTGTGAACAATGTTCAAATGGCAAACAAATAATTTAGAATATTCATACAAACAGGAGACAGAGAAATAATGGGTTGAAGAGGGCAGTTCCCTAGCAGAGTCCCCACACTCAAGCCTGGAATCCCCCAGCCCTAAATGAGAACAGGTATTCCTGCTTTCACGTCCAAAAGTTTGCCTTTTGTCCCACCACATCCCTTATCCTATACCCATATAAACCCTGAACCCCAGGCTCCAGAAGCAGATGAGCAGAAGAATGGCAGAAAAGCATGGTAGAGAAGGAAAAAAGAAAAGGAATGTCTGAATACCGAGAGGAGTTTGGCTCAGGACAATCGAGGAGGACATCAGCCGCTGGACAGCCAAACTCCAGGAGAAGATCATCTTCCCACTCCATCCCCCTTCCTGCTCCCCGTCCATCCCACTGAGAGCCACTTCCACCACTCAGTTAAACCCCTACATTCATCCTTCCAGTCCATGTGTAACCTGATTCTTCCTGGATGCCGGACAAGGACCTGGGTACCAACAGGACACTGAGCTGGTTAACACTTAAGCCATCTGTGAATAGCAAAGCTGAAAGAGCACACTGTAACACATGCCCACTTGGACTTTGGCAGTTGAAGACATCCACCTTTAGACATTAATGTTGGGGCAGAGTCCAAAGAGCTCACCCTGGCTCCTGCACCTGCCTGTCAGCATGCTCCCCCTCCTGTAACGGGTTTGAGCTCGCAGGAGCCAACTGGAGAGCCACAACCCTGTTGCACATCCTATGAAGGGGGCCAGGGAACTCTCCCATCTCAATATTACAAAAACTTAGTTGATAAAGCTGTAGCAGGATTTGAGAGGATTGACTCTAATTTCAAAAGAAGTTCTACTGTGGGTAAAACAGCATCACATGACACAAAGAAATCTTTTATCAAAGGAAGAGTCAATCAATGTGGCCAACTTCATTGCTGTCTTATTTTAAGAAATTGCCACAGCCACTTCAACCTTCAGTAACCACCACATCATCTTCAGCAGCCATCTACCTTGAGGCAAGACCACACCAGCAAAAAGCTAATGACTGGCTGAAGGCCAAGATGGCCATTAGCATTTTTTATCAATAAAGTTTTTTAAAATTAAGGTATGTACAGTTTTGACATAATGCTACGGCACACTGAATAGATTGTAGTGTATTATAATGTAACTTTTATGTGACTGGCTAGCCAAAAAATTTATGTGACTGACTTTATTGCAATATTAATTTTGTTGTGATGGTGTAGAACAGAACTTTTACTGTCTCCAAGTTATGCCTGTAATTCAGAAATTTCCATTTAGCTTAGTAGGATTATTTATGTCACCCTTAAGTTCTCACTTTGTTGAATTTTTATTATTCACTTTTCATAGGTATATTAATTTAAGAAAGTTTGGTTGATCGTTATGTCACAAACTTTTTAGGAAATTGTGCTAATTAAGTTAGTCCTGAGCATTTTGAAATATAATGTCTATCAAATACTACAACCATTGTTTACTTAGTAAGAGAGATGATATAAATTGATCTATGTAATTTGGAATATGTTTGCTGAATAATATATTGCACATCATATTATAACACATCACAATGTAAGGATAAGAACAGGAATATAAATTAACATTTTTAATCCTTATTTTATTCTAGGTGTTATACCTGGCATGGTAGATACTATTTGCTTTCTCCCTGCTAACAAATATACAATACATATCCTAAAATTTTTTATTCTACAGTGTTAAATCAAGTTTAGCCTAAAGCTGCCGCCTTACGTATTTTAAGTTTGGCCTAAAGGTTTCTCTGCACATCACGAACTATAACCTAAAGGTTTCTCTGCACATCACGAACTATAACCTAAATGAAGTTATAAACAGACTCTTGTTCCAATCAAAGGTGGCCAACTGTTCAAACCGTGTTCAATAAGGCAAACACCAGGCTATAATCAATCTATCTGTTTCTGTTCCTCATTTCTGTTTTCTGTACATCATTTTCCCTTTTCTGTCTATAAATCTTTTTCTACCAGAAGGCTGCATGTGAGTCTCTGAGCCTACTCTGGCTCTGGAGGCTACCTGATTTGCAAATCGTTCTTTGCTCAATTAAACTTTAAACTTAATTGAGCTAAAAGGTTTTCTTTTAACAATAGATAGGGAAACCGATGCTTATAGTTATGTGTCTTGCCTAAGGTCAAGATGTTGAACCTGGAATTTAAACTCAGGGGATCGTATATTGTGATTAAATTTATAACTATTAGGAAAAAGATTAGTTATACATAAAGTGATAATGTACATGAAAATACTATCCAACATTTTTGTAAATTTTTGTTTTTTCAAATTCTCCCTATCTCTCCTAGGTAACATTTATGTTACACAAAAGTTTCAAAGGAAAATTGCTATAAAAAATGCATGGCTCTGATTATTCCCATCAACAGTTTGCAAGAACTGTATTAGTAAATCATCAGGGAAACACACTGTATTGATGGCTATTTATTTATAATTACTGTCATTTTTCATATCAATGCTGAAAGATGTGTTTTAATTTACAGCAGTGGGTATATGAACTACCAGTAGGTAATCCACCACTCACCCCCCATAAAAAGAAAGAAAAATCCTAGAATTACAGGGAAAGTGCAATATATATTAACATGAATCTGTGAGTATGATCTGTATCTTTTAAGAATCTTTTCTTTTTCAGAGTATATGTTTTTCTCTTGTATCTCATTTGGCCCCTTTTATGGACCCATATATTTAAAAGACTTGCAACAATACTGACTAATATGACAGAAAATCATGTATTTCAACTTTGAAGAGAAGTTTTGATATACTGACCTTCAAGTTTTGCTAACTGATGCTTTTATAAACACCAAATAGTTTATTTCTCATACTTTTATTGAATGGCATCAATGATTTTGGAGACCTTTGGAATTTACAATTCTATTTTTGCTGTCTTGCTCTTAGAATAGACAAAAAAAAAATTCCCAAAATGTGATGAGTTCACAAAATCCCACCTACAATTAAAATAAAACAATGTATGTGTGTGGAGGAAAACAACTATTTATTTTGACAGCTGCCTTTGCCAATTGCCATATTTATTTGCCAGTGTCTTGAGGACAGAAAACTAAAACACATTGTTAAAAATGTATAGGGAATATATCTGTTATGTTTGAGATCAAATAATTAACCAGTAACTACTCAAACTCTATTTAATGCCATTTTTATAGAACATGAGAAAATTTATGCAGTAGGTTTATTGTAATAATAGTGATAATAGTAATAGCATGGATACTGTAAATTACGTATTTAAGAAACTGTGTGTATAACTGTTGAGAAGTTATTAAATTTTTTTGTTTTCATTCACCCTTTACAGTCTACACCTAGAGATTCCTAGAGAGAAAAATTAAGTCTTGGACTTCAGCAAAATGAATATTTATTGAATTAGCTATGTAAATAGTCAAAACTAAGAATAACTTTTTCAGTTTTGGGAGGAAATGCCAACAGTGTTTTCCATAATGGCTGTACCAATTTACATTTCCAACAACAATGTACAAAGTTTCTTTTTACTCTACATCCTCACCAACATTAGTTATCTTCTGTCTTTTTGATAATAGCCATTGTAAACAGGTGTAAGGTGATACCTCATTGTGGTTTTAATTTGCATTTCCATCATGATTAGTGATAGTGAGCATTCTTTACACACTTCTTGGCCATTTGTAGGTGATACCTCATTGATGTTTTAATTTGCGTAGCCCCAATGATTAGTGATGATTACTTTTTGTATACCTATTGGCCATTTGTATGTTTTCTTTTGAGAAATGTCTATTCAGGTATTTTCTCCATTTTTAATTGCTAGTTTTTCCGTGCTATTGACCTTTTTGAATTCCTTATATATTTTGGATATTCTCCCCTTATTAAACATATGATTTGCAAATATTTTCTCGTATTCTATATATATTCTCTTCACTTTGTTGATTGTTACCTTTACCGTGCAGAAGCTTTTCATTTTGATGTGATCTCACTTGCACACTTTTTGATCTTTTGCCTGTGCTTTTGAGATCATATCCAAAAAAATCTTTGCTGAGATCACTATCAAGAAATATTTTCCATATGTTTTCTTCAAGTAGTTTTAGGTCTTGTAAGTCGTTAATCCAATTTGAGTTGATTTTTATATATGGTGTGGGATAAAATGATTCAAGAATCTCACTTTTGGATATATATTCTACGGAAATAAAATCAGTATGGCAAATAGATATTTGTGCCCCCATGTTCATTGCAGCATTATTCACAATAGCCCATATGTGGAATTAGCCTAAGAACAGATAAAGAAAATGTAATATATATACACAATGGATTACTATTTAGCCTCTAAAAAAGTAATAAAAACTAAAATTCTGTCATTTACAACAATGTGGATGAACCTGGAGGATATTATGCAAGATAAGCTAAGCCATGACAGAAACACAAATACTGCATGATCTCACTTATATGTGAAAATGAATAAAAGACAAACTCAAAGAAGTAGAGAGGAGGATGATGATTTCCAGGACCTGAGACAGGGGCTGAAGGATAGAGAAATGGTGAAAGAATTTAAGGTTTCACTGAGACAAGATGAGTAAGTTCTAGAGACCTATTGGACAGCATAGTGACTATAGTGACTGTAGTCAACAAGAATGTATTGTATACTTGAACGTTTCTAAGAGAGTAGATCTTAATGTTCTCAGCTCACTCAAAAAAATATATATAAGGTGATGGATAAGTTAATTAGCTTGATTTAATCATTTCTTAATGTATAGTTATATCAAAACATCACTTTGAACACTGTAAATATATAAAGTTTTAATTTCTCAATTATACCTTAATAATGCTTAAAAACAATTATGCTTTTTAAATACAGAATGCAATTCAAAACCAAATTCAGTATAAATTATCCCTCTGTAAGTATTAATATACATATGTGTGTATTTATGTGTGAGTGTATATAAACTATGAATCTAATTTTAACTACAAAATCTAAAACTTTAGAAAAATGTTGACATCATTTAGTCACACTCTCAATTGAAACCCCAAAAATGCATCCTTTTTTTCTCTTTCACAGATGATTAAGTTGAGATCACATAATTATTTGCCTAAGTTTATTTTATAACTAGTAAGTTACAGAGATCTTGTTCTCCAGTATCCAACCTTAGTGTTTTTTCTCTAACATGAAATAAGTTAGAGGCAAATGTAAAAGACAGTGAAAAGGTAAAATGCAAAGTATATAAATAGCTAAATTAGGAGCATTGTTATGTTTTTTATCTTTGTAGCTACAGTTCATATTATGTAGAAATAGTTCATGTGTCTCTTTAAATATTCAATAATTGGGGTTCTAAATATTTTCTTATTGACATAAAGGTGAGCAAACTTTAGTTCTAATTTTGTGTAGAACGACATATTTATTTTTATTTCTTTTTTTCTTATGCTATTAGTCTCTTCTCTCCCCCTCTTCTATTCCTTTCTACACACATATATAGCTAACACATAAGCACACAAGGTTTACAAAAGCCAGCATCCTTATCTTTGTGGTTTATTTAAATACAGAATAAGTATTTGTAGATGTTAAATTTAGAACTTGTAAAAACTTCCTATGTCTGTTATTTAACAATTAGGGTATGATCTTAAAGTGTTTAAACACCCTATGATCTCAGATATTCAACCTCTATTTTAAAAATAAAAAAATGCACAGCTTCATTTACTTGACAAAAGTTTGTCTTTTTAAATACACTTATTTGAAATTTAATTTATGTATAAATCAATACACAGATTTTAAAGGCACAGTTTGATGAATTTCACAAATACATGTACTCATGAAATCAGCACCTCAATGATGCTATTATCTCAAAACATTCCATCTTATTCCTTTGCAGACAAACCCCTGACCCTCACCCTCTACCTCTAGACAACAACTGATTTGCTTGCTTTCACCACTGAATTGTTTCGCATGTTCTAGAATTTAGTATAAATGAAATCATACAGTATTTAGTATTTTATGTCTGATTTCTTTTGTTTAACATAACATTCATCTAGTTAGTGTATCGGTAGTTTGTCCCTTATATTAATAATAACTATTCTAGTGTATGGATACAAAACAATGCATTCAAATAGTCATTAGTTAATGGGTAGTTGCAGTATTTACCACTTGGAACTTTTATGAATAAATTACTGTAAACCTTCACATCAGGTCTTTTTTACACATATGTTTTTAGTTATCTCAGGTAAATACATAGTGAATAACTTAAAAATTGCTGGATCATATGCTAACTGTATGATAAGTGTATATTTAACATTTTAAGAAACGGCCAAAGTTTCTTAAAGTGTTTGAAACTGCCAAAGTTAAAGTGTTTTACCACTTTAATTCCCATTGGCAGTCAAGGAGAATTCCACTTGTTTCATATTCTTCCCAACATATGGAATAGCCAGCCTTTTACATTTAGCTATTCTAGTTGATGGGTGGTGGTAATTCATTGTGATTTTAATTTTTCTTTCCCTGAAGACTTTTTTTTCTTTTTTGAGATGGAGTTTTACTCTTGTTGCCCAGGCTGAAGTGCAATGGCTTGATCTCAGCTCATTGCAACCTCTGTCTCCCAGGTTCAAGTGATTCTCTTGCCTCAGCCTCCCAAGTAGCTGGGATTACCGGCATGCACCACCATGCCTGGGTAATTTTGTATGTTTAGCAGAGATGGGGTTTCACTATGTTGGTCAGGCTGGTCTTGGAACTCCTGACCTCAGGTGATCCACCAACGTCGGCCTCCCAAAGTTCTGGGATTACAGGCATGAGCCACCGTGCACCGCCTTTCCCTGAAGATTAATGATGGTAAGCTTTTTAAATGTTTTTATTGACCATTTGTATTATTTGTTTGGGGGGGTGAAGTATCTATTTTTTGGGGTCCATTTTTAAGCTGGGTTTTTCCCCAAGGGGCCTTTATGTATTTTGGTTACAATACTTGTTACATATATTTATTTTGAGTAATTTTTCCCAGTATATAGCTTGCCTTTTATTTTCTTAGTAGCATCTTTAACAGAACATAATTTTTAATATTTTTAATAAAATCTCATTTGTTAGTTGTCTATTACTATTTAACAATCAGCTTAACCAACAACATTTATTATCTCATATAGTTCTGAGAATCACGAATCTGGGAGTAGCTAGGTGGATGGTTCTGGGCTCAGATCTCCTATGAGGCTGCATTAAAGCTGTAGGTTTGACTGGAGCTGGAGAATCTGCTTCCAAGCTCACTCACATGGCTTTTGAATGGTCTCCAGTTCCTGCTTACATAGGCTTCTCCATAAGGCTGTTTATCACAAGTCAACTCAATTTCCTGAGAGTGTTATTCAAGAGAGGAAAGGCCAAGATGGAAACTATAGTGTCTGATAAAACTTAACCTCAGAAAATGGCATACTATCACCTCTGCCATTGTCTATTGGTTACACACACCAACACTAGTATTGGGTGGGAGGGACTACTACATCAGGGAGTGAAGACCAGGAAGTACCAGGGGATATCCAGGGTTATCTTGAAGATTGCTTACTACATGTACTTATTAATATTTCTTTCATTGTATTGCTTTTTGTGAACTATCTATGCAAATTTCAACTGCTTTTACATCATAAGGTATTTTTGTATGTGTGTCCTTAAATTTATTTTAAGTTTTTGCATTTCAGTTCTAGACAATTACCCATTTCAGATTAATTTTTTGTATGATGTTACATAAGGATTGAGGCATCATTTATTCCATATTAAAGTCCAGTGGTTCCAGTGAAACATTATAATTTCCCCATCTGAATTATATTAGAAAACATTTAAAACATTAATTGCTCAAATTTCCATTTTCAGTAAATTGAGTAACCTTCCACAATTTCTCACTCACCCATAGATAACAACCATTAAATGTGGAGAAAACTAAATGACCAGTAGGCACTGGTGAGTAAAGCAAAACAGGAAACTTCTGAAAGGAGTTAAAATATGAAAGTTGCAGAGTAACTTGCTTTTTTAATAGCCATTAGCAAGAGGGTAGATTAAACTCAGTTCCATGTTGGGTGGTTGAAATTTTGATAAAAGCATGAAGTCTATCTGGCATTAAGAAAAAAAGAGAATAACTTTGGGGCAAATACAGCCACCTAGAAAGTTAAGGCAAAATGGCAGAGCCTGAGAGCACATGCCAGAGTTGCATAGGTAAACTCTGAAGAACCTTTTGGTTGACTTTAAGCCATGCATGAATAGAATGTAATTAGCTAAAGTAAAATAAAAATAAGACAAAATCAATCTACAGGTCTGAGTTGCCACCAAAGAGCAGAGTTTAAAGTTTTAGTCCAACCAAGTTAACAGCTGACTGACACTAAAGTATAAGCACTCTTTGGAAAACTCCCAGAGTCTTCAAAGAAAATACTAACATTGTCCAAAGTACAGTGGAAAATTAGTTAAAGGACTATGAACCAAGAAATGTGCTCTGTTCTCAATAGAAAAGACAATGAATCCAACCCAAATCTGTGATCACAGATAAGAATTTGCAGATAAGAATTTTAATCCAGATATTATAACAATGCTTAGTGAAGTTTAAAAAAGTGTGTTCATAACTAATGAAAATATTTAAAATATTAATAGAAAAAATATGAAATGGAAATTCTGCAAGTACAGAACTATGATATCTGAAATTTTAAGAAAAGATACATATTCATTAAGAGAAAAAAATCAGTGAACCTGAAGATAGATCAATACAAACCAACTAATCTGAAGAACACAGAGAGAAAAATCTTGAAAAATATTACCCAAACCTAAGGAATTCAAGAAAGCATAACACAAAGTATGACATATGTTTAAGAGGAGTAGTGGAAGGTGGAGAGAGAAAAAATGGTTAGAAAATATATTTCAGTATATAAAAGCCAAAAATTTTCCTTAGTGAGAAAAAGATATAAATGTATTAGTTTAAGCAGCTCAGTAAATCTGAGCAGGATGCATACAAAGAAAACCATTATAGGTACAGAATAATCAAAGTGACAAAAAGGAAAGATAAAGGAAAAATATTAAAGTCAGACAAAAATGGCAGATTACATACTGGGAATAATCTCTTGAATGACTACTGACATCTGCAAATATGAAGGCTAGAAAACTCTAAATTACCAGAAAAAAGTTAACTAATTATTCTGCATCCTGGGAATATATCCTTCAAAAATAAAGGCAAAATAAAGGCATTTTCAGACAAAATAAAGCTAATAGAATTTACTACCAGAAAACCTGCACTAAAATAAAGTTCCCAAATACTAAATGAAGTTTCCCAAACTGAAGAGTAATGATGACAAAAGTAACTTGGATCTCTGAAAACGGTAAAGAACATCAAAATGCTGTAGCAGCCTTGCCAGTGCACCACAATGTTTCAGTTTTGTTGTTTGAAGTAAGACCCAGAGTTCTTTGTCTCACAACCAAGAAAATTAAAGAGCCATGAACACAAGGGTGAGGTTGGAGTGAAACTTCAATAAGTGAAAGGAGAAAGCTCTCCACAAAGAAGAAGGGGCCCAAAAGAGGGTTGTTTTTCTACAATTGAATACATGGGCTTTTATAAACAGGCTAGTAGGGCGAGATATTTCATTTACATAAGGAGCAAAAAACTGGTTAGGACTAGGTGTTCATTTGCATAAGGTGCAAATTCCATGTCCTTTTAGCATGCATGCGAACTCTTAGCCTAAGTTACTTTATATTGTTTAATTTCCCTTTCTGCGCATGTGTGAGGGGGTGGAATTTTCATTGCAAACGTGCTAGGTTCTGTGTTACTCCTCTTAGGCATGTTTAAGCAAGTCTCCCACCTCCCTTCCCTGTGCAAACTCCCTTACCTGTGTATGTCCCCAAAAAAAGGGAAGGAATGTGCTTACTGAATCCTACCATGTATACATGACCCTTGTTAGTTACACAGAAGGCATCTTTATGGTGGACCTTGCCTCCTTATCCATCCTTGCCTCCTGATCTTTCAGGCTGTTCCTTTGTTAGAAAAAAAAAAAAAACAAAAAAGGAATTCTACCAAGGACTTGTCCTAGCTATCTGCCTAACTGGTTCCTTTCTCTCTTTTCCCTCAATAGTAATGATTAAAGGGTAAATTAACCAGGAAGACATAGCAACTGTAAATGTTTGTGTAGACACATTTACATGAACCAAAATTTGACAGAATTAAGGTAAGATATAAACAATTCCATAATCATAGTTGTAAGTATCTAAACCCATCTCTAAGGAATTAATAAAACAGGTATATTTTCAAAGTTGATAAATTATCTGAAAGACACTATCAAGGCATTGACTTAACTGATATGTATAAAAGACTAGATACTACAACAGCAGCATGAAAACAGAGGACATTAACCAAGATAGACCATATGCTAGTCCATAAAAAGTCCCAACACATTTCAAAGGATTGAAGCACTTCTGAAAAATATATACGTAAAAAAAGAAAAATCCCAAGGGAACTTAAAGATATTTAAAACTGAATGAAAATAAAAATATATTCAAATACATGGGATATCTGGATATTATTCAAACACTTAAAGTCTAAATCAGACAGGTGTTAATAGCCCACATGTCAAAGAAGAAATAAAAAGTGACACTATAAAATATTTTGAACTGAGAGAAAATTAAAAACACATATTAAAAACAGCAAATGCCGCTAAAGCAGTACTTGGTATTTTATGACACTAAATACCTATTTTAGAAAAAGAGAAAGATCTCAAAATAAATGACTTCAACTTCCACTTTAAGAAAATGATCAAAGTCATGGTTTTTAGAACAAATTAAATAATAAAGGCCAGACTGAAAATAAATTAAATGTAAAATAAAAACAATAGAGACAATCAATTAAATCAAAATATAGTTCTTTGAGAAGATGAATAAAGTTGATAAAATCCTGGCCAGGATGATCAACAAACTAAACAAGATACAAATTAACAGCATCTGAAATGACAGCAGTTATATCACTCTAGATTCTACAGGTTTGAAAATGACATTAAGGGGATATTATGAAAAATTCTGGCCAGTAAATTTGACAACTTGGATAAAATGTACAAATTAAAGACACAATGCACTATAGACATTATAGAAAAATCTGAATTTGCACTATATATATATATATGATTGAATTTGTAGTTAAAAATAAGCCCCCAAAATGCTGACCTACCTTGCTGAACTTTAGAATTTTACCAAATATTTAAGAAAGAATTAAGAGCAATTCTACGCAAATTCTTCCAGAATATTGAAGAGGAGGGAATACTTGTCAATTCTTGTTATCAAATCAAAACTATTATTTTATCAAAAGCAGCCAAATACATTAGAAGAAAAGAAAACCACAGACCAATATCTTTTATGACCACAGAGGCTAAAATTATATACAAAAGTTTAGCTAATAGAATCCAACAATATGAAAGATAATAAATTATTACCAAGTAGATTTTGCCCTAGGACTGCAAGTTTGGTTTTATATTGAGGAGTCAATCAATGTAATTCATCATATTCATTAGCTAAATTTCTTTAAAAATTATCATCTTAATAGACAGAAAAATATAATGACAAAATTCAAGATACATTCATGATAAAAACTTTCAAAGTAGAAATAAAGATACTTTCTCAACTTGATAGGGCATTTATGAACTACTTATAGCTAGCATCATACTTAATAGTGAATGACTGAATGCTTTTCCCGGAAGATTAGAAACAAGAGGAATTTCTACTTTTACCACTTTCATTCAACACTGTACCAGATACTCTAGTCAGTGAAATAAGGGTAAGAAAATAAACAAAGTTCTTTAGATTGGAAAGAAAATAGTAAAATTGTCTAATTTTCAGATGACATGATTGTCTATATATCTCATATAGTCTACAAAGAAAGGTAAGGTTACAGAACACAAATAAGTACAAGATTATTATAAAAATCAATTGCATTTCTATATATAGGCAACAAATAATTGAAAATTTAAATTGAAAAATATTTTGTTATATTTGCTACAAATATATATGTATATATGTTATATATATATACATTTACATTAGATAAAAATATTAAATACTTAGAGACAAATCTGACATGGCAAGGAAAGAAATCTTCACTAACAACTACAAAACATTGATGAGGGAAGTTAAGGAAAACCTCCCAAATAAAGACACACACTTTTTCATAGGTCAAAAGACATATTGTTAAGATATAAATTAACCTCCTCATATGGTCATCTTCTAGCTCCCATAATTCCCCTGTTTTGTGGGAGGGACCCAGTGGTAGATGACTGAATCATGGAGGTGAGTCTTTCCCATGCTGTTCTTATGACAGTGAATGGGTTTCATGGGATCTGATGGTGTTAAAAATGGGAGTTTCTCTGTACAAGCTCTCTCTTTTCCTGCCACCATCCACGAAGGATGTGACTTGCTCCTCCTTGCCTCCCATCATGATTGTGAGTCCAATTAAACCTCTTTCTTTTGTAAATTGAGTAGTCTGGGGTATGTCTTTATCAGCAGCATGAAAACAGACTAATATAGGAAATTGGCACTGGAAGAGTGGGTTGCTGCTGAAAAGATACCCAAAAATGTGGAAGTGACTTTGGAACTGGGTAACAGATGGAGGTTGGAACAGTTTGGAGGTTTCAGAAGAAGACAGGAAAATGTGGGAAAATTTGGAGCTTCCTAGAGACTTGTTGAATGGCTTTGCCCAAAATGCTGCTAGTGATATGAACAATAAAGTCCAGGCTGAGGTGGCCTTAGATGGAAATGAGGAACTTGTTGGGAGCTGGAGCAAAGGTGACTCTTGTTACATTTTATAAAAAGAATGGCAGCATTTTGCCCTTGCCCTAGAGATTTGTGAAACTTTGAACTTGAGAGAGATGATTCAGGGTATCTGGCAGAAGAAACTTCTAAGCAGAAAAGCATTCAAGAGATGACTTGGGTGCTGTTAAACACATTGTTTAAAAAAGAAACTGAGCATAAAAGTTTGAAAAATTTGCAACCTGACAATGCAATAGAAAAGAAAATCCCATTCAAGCTGGCTACAGAAATTTGCCTAAGTAACAAGGAGCCAAATGTTAATCCCCAAGACAATGGAGAAAATGTCTCCAGGGCATGTCAGAGGTCTTCATGGCATCCCCTCCCATAACAGGCCTGGAGGCCTAGGAAGTAAAAATGGTTTCCTGGGCCAGGTCCAGGGTCCCTGTGCTGTGTGCAGTCTAGGGACTTTGTGCCCTGCATCCCAGCTCCTCCAGTCATGCCTAAAAGGGGCCAAGGTAGAGCTTGTGCCATGGCTTCAGAGGGTCCAAACTTTCCTATGGTTTTGAGCCTGCAGGTGCACAGAAGTCAAGAATTGAGGTTGGGGAACCTCAGCCTAGATTTCAGAGGATGTATAAAAATGACTGGATGTCCAGACAGAAGTTTGCTGCAGGGGTGGGCTCTCATGGAGAACCTCTGCTAGGGCAGCAAAGAAGGGAAATGTGGGATTGGAGCCCCCCCAATAGAGTCCCCACTGGGGCACCATCTAGTGGAGCTGTGAGAAGAGGGCCATTGTCCTCCAGACCTCAGAATGGTAGATCCACCAACAGCTTGCACCATGTGCCGTGAAAAGTCACAGACACTAAATGCCAGCCCATGAAAGCAGCCAGGAGGGAGGCTGTACCTGCAAAGCCACAGGGGCAGAACTGCCCAAGACCATGAGAACCTACCTCTTGCATCAGCATGACGTGTATATGAGACATGGAGTCATAAGACATCATTTTGGAGCTTTAAGAGTTGACTGCCCTGCTGGATTTTGGACTTGCATGGGCCCTGTAGACCCTTTGTTTTGGCCAATTTCTCCCATTTCAAATAACTGTATTTACCCAATGCCTGTACCCACATTTTATCCAGGAAGTAACTAATTTGCTTTTGTTTTTACAGGCTCATAGGTGGAGGAGACTTGCTTTGTCTCAGATGAGACTTTGGACTGTGGACTTTTGAGTTAATGCTGAAATGAGTTGAGACTTTGGGGAACTGTTGGGAAGGCATGATTGGTTTTAAATATGAATATATGAGATTTGGGAGGGGGTCAGGGGTGGAATGATATGGTTTGGCTCTGTGTCCCCACCCAAATCTCATCTTGTAGCTCCCATAATCCTCCCATGTTGTGGGAGGGACCCAGTGGGAGATGATTGAATCATGAGGGCGGGTCTTTCTCATGCTGTTCATGATCCCATTCATGTGAGAAAGACCCATGTGATCATGAATGGGTCTCACAAGATCTGATGGTGTTAAAAATGGGAGTTTCTCTGCACAAGCTCTCTGCCTGCTGCCATTCACAAAGGATGTGACTTGCTTCTCCTTGCCTTCTGCTATGATTGTGAGGCCTCCCTAGCCATGTGGAACTGTGAGTCCAATTAAACCTCTTTCTTTTGTAAATTGACTAGTCTCGGGTGTGTCTTTATCAGCAATGTGAAAAAGGTCTAATACACCTCCAAATTGATCTACAAATTAAATGTCATTTCTATAAAAACCTTAAATGAATATTTAGGAAAACTGATGAATTCTCTCTAAAATTCATATGGAAATGCAAAGAATCCAAAGTAGCTAAAACAGCATTCAAAATAAAAATAAAGTTGAAGGGATAAAATCACCTGTTTTTAAGACTTATTGTGAAGCTAAAGAAATCAAGATGGTACAGTATTGGCATCAAGATAAACAAATAAGTCTATAAAACAGAATAGAGAGTGCTGGAGTAGAAGGAAGGAATCGATGATAAAAGCAGAATGGTTGAAAACAAATTTTAACAATCAAAAACACAAACAATAAGCAAAATTAATAAAGGCAAAAGATGATTCTCCAGAAATAAAGGTAACACATAATCTCCTAGCTAGACTGATAAATAATAAGTAAAACATAATGAAACAAATAGAAACAGAAAATACTGAAATCACCAATATCTGGGACAAAGGAGGAAATTTTACTACCTATTCTACCTACATTACAAAGATTACAAGAAAAATTTTAAACAGTGTTACACTAGCAAATTGACAATGTAGATGAAATTTACATTTCTACTAGAAAGCATAATAGAATTTTGTTTAGAATAGTATTAAATCTAGGAATCATTTTGGGGGAAATGTGTATTTTAATAAAATTAAGTTTTCTTTTTAAATTCAGGAGCATGCTGTATCTTTCTAATTACTTAGGTATTACTTTTTCTCATCAATAGTTTTTCATTTTTAGTGTACTGATCTTTTACATATTTATATATTTTAATCATCTCTATCATTTTATGTTTTTGGTTTTATAAATGGTATTTGCATTATGCTGGGTCCAGTCAATAGAAAGAAAGCGCACAGTAATTTAAACAGAAGTTTAATGTGAAGATCATTGAAATCTGTTGAAAGGGTAACTCAGATATAAGGGTAGAGTAGGACTGAAAGAGATTCCCCAGGAAAACATAAACTTGGTAGGAAAGCTTTCTTACCAAGATTGGGGTTCAAACTAAAGAATAAGTGTACTTGCAACCCACTAGAAAAGAGAGAAGTTTGCTAGTTTTCCTGGGCCTTAGGTGGTTCAGTCACCACGTAAGCAGGCAGCAAATCTCTTGGATGCAAGTAAGTTGCCGCCAATAGCCAAGAGTTCTAATATGCTAAGAAATTGGAATGTCTAGATCATACAACATTAATGTCAGGAAAGCCTTACAATCATTAGTCAATAATGGCTGCAGAATAAATAAGCTGTAATAATAAATTTACAGTCTTTCATAAATTCCATAAATACCTATAGAGAATATGATATGTCATAGACACTAATCTAGGTTTGGGCTGCTACAGAATTGAATAAAATGGGAAAATAACTGCTCTTTTTGGAGCTTAGATTCTTGTTGTAAAAATAGGCCAAACATAAATAAATAAGTAAAGACAATCCATCAGATGGTGGTAATGCTATGTGAGATGGAAGGTCAAAAGAGTGATGCTGCCATTTCAAAGAGACTAGTTTAAGAAAATGTCACTAAAATGTAGACATTTTAATGTAGAACTAAACATGGAAAAAAAGCAAGCCATTCGTGTGTCTGAGGAAAGATACCTCCAGGCTGAATAAATAAGAAATGCATATGCCAGAGCCTAAATAGCATGTTCAAGAATTAGTAGAAAGACCAGTGTTGCTAGAGCATAGTCAGCAAGGGAATAGGTGGAAGATCAGATGAATTAATTGGCAAGACACCAAGTTATTAATGTCACAGTGTAAAAAACACTCTCTGATCCCAAAAATTTTCTCACAGAACTTTTGGTTTATCCTACAATCAATACACTTCTATCTATGATTGAGTGCTTTTTAATTTTACTATTAATTTCAAATAAATATCGATCTTAATGAAACTTTATTTTTGAAACAACTTGAATTTGGGAGAATTTGAAAGTTTTGCAAAGGGTGTTAATATTTAAATATAAAATATTTAAATATAAAAATTAAGAACAATTAAATTACCAGTGTCAAATACAAGAGAAAAGCAGAAGACATAATGAAAGCAATATAGGACTATATTGGGAAAAAAAACACTGATGACATGGGGGAAGAAAGTAAAAATAAAAGGCCAACAATTTGGAAATTGTACAGAAGTGATACAGGAAATTTATGCTAAATGTATAAGGAATTCTTAGAAATGAATAGGATAAAAATGAAGTGCTTAATAGAAAAATAGGTAAATATGAAAATAAATTTAACAAAATGAAATATAGCTAAAAATCAATCTTTACACTAACAATCAAATAACAGAAAGATACCATTTGACACATCAGGTGACCAGAGATTGGCATGAGTCATACAATTATATTATGATCAGGATTCAAGGACATGGGTCACTGACCCATCCTGAATATCTGTTTTCTAAAATTTAATTTTAACTTTTTATTTGTTTTTAATTTTTTAGCAATGAGAACATATTAAATGTGTAAATAAAAAAGAATTATTACATTTATGAATATGTTAAGGATTATAACCACAAATAGGAGAGACCATAATATGCAAACATGCACAAAATTTTTGTGTGAATAATTTATCAATACATACCAAATCCTTAATAATTTTTTAAATATCTTTTAGCCTGACAATCACATATATAGAAGTGTTTTGCAAATTTTAGCTATTTTCAATATAGCATAGTTTATAATTTTTAAAAATTGAATAATCTATCAAAAATAATTAATGAATTTAATTACAATTAATGAATTCTGTTATATCCATGTAATAGATTACTACATATATAGCATATTTTATACATGCATAGTTATTGATGTAAAAAATTTTTGATATAATGTTTAAATAAAAATCATACTATATAGCTAAATATAAAAGGTTATTTTATTTTAAAAAATTATATCTATGGGGGGAATTCTATAGATTGAAAGCTCTGAAACCTTTTCATTTGCCCAATCTTGATCACAACACTCAATAAATAAATATAATCCTGTCTTTTATGTAATGGTTTCCTTGTATATCTATTTTTTTATCTACATATGCATCTTTAGACATGTTTAGTATTACATATTTTCTTAAAATTTGTTGTATATCTTAAGTCTGTTAATTTACAGGTTCGAATGCCATCTTTTTCTTGCCATGTTTCAAATTGAAAAACACAATTCATTTAAATTGCAAATTTCCCCCATCTGGATTTTGCTAATTTTACGCTAATGATTGTTTCCACTGTCCCCTATATTTTCTCCAACTTGGAAGAAATTAGACTTAGGTGAGATATTTTTGGCAAGATCACACATGATTTTTATTTTTCCACCTTGTCTCTTTTTATGTGTTAGTTGTTAGTCATGCTTAATGCCTAGATCCATTAATTTATTGAGAATTGAATCCGATCATTTCTGTTACAATTATTATTAGCTGGAATACATTGTAAAGTTTTCACTTTTCCTCACCTATTAATTGGATATCAGCATATGTACTATTTATTATATTTAAGTGTTAATACGCATTTTATTTCATTATTAAGTAACAATAAAATATTAATAAAATTAACATTTGGGGAGAAAACAGAATAAGTTCTTGGTCCTTCCCTTTATTTTACATATTTCTAGAAAATTTGTTCCATCTCATCTCCTGAAAGTAACTAATTAGATTTTAAAGTATGATTAGGAACTCGTGCATTTAAACATATTTGATGGGTTTCCATTTATGAGTATAAATTCAACCCAGTTTGGAGTTCAGATTGTCCTATCTTTTTTCTATTAAGTTGTCTATCTTTGACTAGTAGCACATCTTCAAGTTGGATCCTGTCTCCTTTTGATGTGATAGTAACAGACAAAATACCCCAGGCTTGTTTTGGTTATTCTTAGCCTCAGACCTGGAATCAGCCATTTTTTCAAGAGGCCCTCACTTTCTTTAGTGGAAAAATGTATTGAAAGACTACTGTCTGGGTGCTAGGAATGCTCATTTTCATCCACTTTTTTCCTTTACTATGTTGTTTATGGAGCTTGAAAGAAAAAGAGAATAATTAATTCATCAATAGACAGATAAAGAGACTAATGAGTTCATCCTGATTTCCAATTCAAATTCAGGACTTCAGGACTACTCAACATTTTCTACTTTATATCTTTACTTTCTTCCTTTTGCCATTAGAATACTGGTTTTGTGATAAGATTTCAGTATTCAATAATTTCTCATTTGCCTTATTCTAAACCATATTCACAATAGTTTTGGAATAACAATGCAAATATTTCCAAAACTAAAATAATGATTGGGTATACTTAATTGTTTTGCATGTGTTCTTTTTTGTTCTCAGCTATATCTGATTTTACTATACCTACTTTGTCCTAGCATATAGCCTTTATACTCTATATTCTCTTCTCATTTAGTCTTATTTCTATATAGCTAATGATATACCCAAGGCTTATTTTCATATGCTGATTTTTATATAAAATTAGATTTCTTGACTTTGAAAAGCCAGTTTGTACCAGAATAGCTTTTCTAACTTTACAGAGGTCTCATATTTTTTTCCACTTTGTATTTAAAAATATAAGATTATTCTGGCTTAATTCCCCTGCCTCACATTTTTTTTTTTTTTTTTAGGATTTGGATTTCAACACTTTAATTTCTTTTGAATATAAGTCATGTTTTCCAAGCTAGGAAACATAATCAACCTAAGGCAATCTAGTCTTGTAAGGATCCAGGCTGAGTCTTGCAATCGTTAGCAGAATGACATCATAATAGAAGATGCTGGCAATAGGGTTATAGACTCTAAATAATAACAACTTATCTGTATTTTTCATTAGGAAATGGCCAAAAGTCTAGTCCTTAAAGACATGATATAGAGAACATCTTGATCTACAAAGGACAGAGTAACCCAAATTGTATGTCGTCCAACCTTTGGGTCAACCAGACAGATCAAAGCTGGCCAAGGATTGGTAAACAGTGAATGTTTACATTTTGAAACCTTGCTCTGTGATTTTAAAAAGTCCTGATTGAACTAATTTACATTCCCACCAACAGTGTGAAAGTGTTCCTATTTCTCAGCAACCTTGCCAGCATCTGCTGTTTCTTGACTTTTTAATAAATGCCATTCTGATGGGTGGGAGAAGATGGTGTGGGGATTCCTCAAAAATCTAGAACTAGAAATACCATTCAACCCAACAATCCCATTACTGGGTATATACCCCCCACCAAATATAAATCATTCTATTACAAAGATACATGCACACATATGTTCATTACAGCATTATTCACAATATCTAAGACATGGAATCAACCCAAATGCCCATCCATGATAGACTGAATAAAGAAAATGTGGCACATATACCCATGGAATACTATGCAGCCATTAAAGGGAATGAGATTATGTTTTTTGCAGGTACATGGATGGAGCTGGAAGCCATTATCCTCAGCAAACTAACACAGGAACAGAAAGTCAAACACTGCATGTTCTCACTTGTAAGTAGGAGCTGAACAATGAAAGACACTTGGACACAGTGGGCACACTGTTGGAGGGTGTGATGGGGGGAGGGAGAGCATTAGGAAAAATAGCTAATGCATGCTGGGCTTAATATCTAGGTTATGGTTTGATAAGTGCAGCAAATCACTATGACACAAGTTTACCTAGGTGACAAGCCTGCGCATCCTGCACTTGTACCCCAGAACTTTAAAAAATATTTTAAGAAAATAAAGTCCCAGTTGTTGTCAATGAGAAAGCGACTAAAAAATATTACAGATGGACTCACACTGATACTTGATTTTACCAAGATTTTTCACTACAGCATGAAGGTAAAGTTAAGTGTAGGGGATTAGTTACTTAGATTTTTTAAAAATAAATTACTTAGTAATAAGAAATTAGACACACTGCATTCTTCCACTTGCTGCAAGAACAAATTCACAGTGAAGACTATCTAAAAGAAATGCTCAACTCTAAAGAGAGTGGTGGTGGCAACACTTTCCACTAAAGAATAAACTCCCATTTTCTCAGGCAATTAACATTGCTATTCTTCCATGATACATATTCATGTGGAAAAATTTGTCAGGAGCTTTTGCCAGAACCAGGAGATGAAAAGCAGAGCTTGTCCTAATTAGCTAATTATAAGCTCAGTTAACATCTTTGGAATGGACCCATAAAATCTGGCAATTATTTTGTTAAACATCTGCAAACTGCACAATTCCTTAGCCCTTAGCCGCAGTTTCTGCTCAATATCTTAAAGCTGGGCGGAGTCCCACTGTGACTTCTCTTCAAGTCTGAGATGTGTGCTTGTCATCAAAATCTGAAATGACAGCATAAAAGTAATCCCAGCAGCCTTTGGATGCATGGTAGGTAATGCACAGGGGTAAAATCCCGGCAGGAACACTAGAATGCCAATGACAGGATGGGATGGCCTCATAACATGATGATACAGCTAGAGACAAAGCTTGCTCACCGGTGTCAGCAGAGATGCCTGAGATCATCTGGCATAGCCCACCTAACTGCCACTCCTCCTGCCCCAGCAGGCCCCTCCCTCACTTTTATGTAGACATTTTTGTCCTCATTTTTATTGCCCTGGTTAAGTTTTAATTCAATTCTCAGTAGTTGATTTTGTTTCCCCCCACGCAGTGTGGAACTCTTTTCTCAGTTTCAGTAATTCATAGAGACTAAATTTCTCTGACCCCTTCACACCTTCCTAACAGACAATTGTATTGCCCGACTATGAAGTAGGCAAAACTCCTCCCAGACTTTGCTGCTGTTTTCAGATTGGCCCCTGGTGAACCTTATGTTCTCAGATCTTAAGATGTCTGGTTGTTTCTCTAGGCTTTCATGTGTACAAAGGCTGAGATAACGCAGGGCTTGTAACTGCCATGTTTTCTCCCCACCCACTTGCATTTCGGGTTTGTAGGGATAACTTGCAACCTAATTATATTATAAATTTCGTTCATGGATTTCACTTTACTATTTCATTGCTCTATTTTTATAAAGATATTTGAGATTAAATATAATGTTACTGCCATCATTTTCCCAGAATCCCGTTTTTATGTTGAAGCCAATGTTTTTTATGATGGAAGTTTGTTTTACTAAATAAAAACAACCTTCTTCTCCAGTGTTCCTATTTCAAGCTATTAGAAGTACTACAACAGCATCTTGTATATAAAGTAGAACATATTTTGGCAGAATCTATGCCAACCTATAAAATGCAAGAAAAAGCAAAAGCCAGAGCCAGAAACAGTATAGCAGATATTTTAATACCAAGCAAGTATCCATTGGCTCTTACCACAAAAATCTGCACTGTAGACAAACTGCAATAAACCAAACTGACAGATATTCAGTACCAGTCAGTTCAGCTTCACCTAAAGAGCTAAAGCTTGTGATTTCTCTTAAGCAAGAAAAATAGTTAAAACAGTCATTTTTGTTTAATGCAGTTTTGTATAAATTATTTAAAAAATGACTGAATGTTAGCTGAGAAATCAGTCTGAAATTGTGCCTGTCTTCTACCTCTTTTGAAGTCACTGCTGATAACAGAAAGCTTTGCCTTTAGAAATATAAACATGTGGTGTACTTTGCATGAATTTATTTAATGTTTATAAAAACATATTATACGGTACGGTCATATTTATTTAGTACTGGCTATTGCATAAGACTAAATCATATAGAGATTTGTAGAAACTACAATTTTATGGCAAAAATTAGATGGAACAGATATTCTAGAAGTTAGCTCATTTGTAAATAACTGGAAAAAAGTGTTTTCTTAATCCTTTAGTTTGAAAATTTCAACTTTTAAGCCAATTTTAAAAATTTGTGGAGTAAAAAACTGTTTCTTTGGGGGAATTTGTTAAGCTTTCTAGGAAATTCTGTTTAGAATAACTAAGAGTTTTATCGTTTTTATCCATGCCTAAAAATGCATTATTGACTATTGGTTATAATTATTTGAACATGATGGAATTAAGATAATGTACTGCACATGACAAAACACAGGCTTTGGGGCTGGAAGACCTAAGACTTAGTTCTACCTTTGCAATGTTCATGGCCTTGAATAATTATTTATTCAGTTGATGCCTCAACTTCTTCCTTTGAAAAAATAGAAATAATGCTAATGGTAAATTAATAGGATTTTTATGAGAATGGAGTAAGATAATGAATGCAAATCAATATTTACTCTGCCTAGGGTATAGTCAGAAACGTTTCTCTTCTTTTACTTAACTTTAGATTTGATTTAAATGCAGCTCTAATTTATCCACAGAAAGAAGGAAGGATGAAGAAAAATAGATGGAAATAAACACAAAATAAGAGGATAATACAACTATTAAGTACCTGTAATAACTAAAATACAAATTTAAAAAACCTCACTTTTTGATATACGAAACTTTTTGAGAATTATGAAGTAGCTATGTTAAAGAAATGTATTATTAATATTATTATATAATTATATATATTATTTAATTAACACATGTTAAAATCATGTGCTTTTTTAAAAAAAGGGCAAGGTTGATCCCAAAAGTATCAGGCATTACAATATATAAATTAAGTTATAGTTGTTGAATTGGAATTTTATTTCATTTATTATTATTATTTTAAAATTTTGTTTTAGATACAAGAGGTACATGTGTAGGTTTGTTTAGAGGCATACTGTGTAATGCTGACGTTAAACTTGTAATGATCCCATCATTCAAGCAGTGAACTTAGTACCTGATAGGCAATTTTTCAACCCTTGCCTCTGTTCCTCCCTCTCCAGTTTTGGAATCCCCAGTGTCTATTGTTCCCATCTTTGTGTCCATGTGTACCCAATGTTTAGCTCCCACTTAAAAATGAGAACATATGGTATTTGGTTTTCTGTTTCTGAGTTAGTTTGCTCAGGATATGGCCTCCAGCTGCATCCATGTTGTTGCAAAGGACATAATTTCATTCTTTTTTATGACTGTATAGTATTCCATGGTGTATATGTACCACCACTGATGGGCACCTGGGTTGATTCCATTCCATGTCTTTGCTCTTGTGAATAGTGCTGTGACAAACATATAAGTGCAGGACATTTTCAGTAGAACAATTTATTTTCCTTTGGGTTAAATTCAGTGTGGATTGAATCAAATACAATCAAATTCATCTATATGTGTTTGCAAAAAAAAACAGGCTTAAATTAAATATTTTTAAAAAATTGAAAAAATAAGAAACAAAATCACCAATGGAAATACATTTTAAGAACATGAGTATGGCAAGGATAATGTTGGAAATAATTTATTTTGGAGGTATGATGATGAAAGAAATAACTTTGAATGAAGGAAGATATGAAATTAAGGCATTATATATGCCTTACTATATAGACAAAATACATGATGTGAAAGTTGGAGAAAATATGAAGAAAAGTAATTAAACTAAAGTCATAGTAGAGAATTCTAATATGTTCTAAAGAAATTGAATATATGAAATTAATATAGATACAGAAATTTTGGGAAAAGAGCACTTTTTTTTTTTTTTTTTGAGACAAGAGTTTTGCTCTTGTTGCCCAGGCTGGAGTGCAATGGTGTGATCTTGGCTCACTGCAACCTCTGCCTCCCGGGTTCAAGTGATTCTCCTGCCTCAGCCTCCCGAGTAGCTGGGATTTGGGGCATGTGCCACCACGGCTGGCTAACGTTTGTATTTTTAGTAGAGATGGGGTTTCACCATGTTGATCAGTTGGTCTCGAACTCCTGACCTCAAGTGATCAGCCCGCCTCAGCCTCCCAAAGTGCTGGGGTTACAGGCTTGAGCCAACACACCCAAAAAAAGAGCAAGTAATTGATAAAGCAAATATCCTAATGGATTTCAGAGAAAGACAAAAAGAGGAGACAGAAGAGAAAGAGAGGGGCACACTATACCCTACCACAGTAGAAAGCATACTCTTTTCAAGTAACTATAGATTATGTATGAAAAATTACCCTTTAAACTAAGTAATAAAGCCAGTCTTTACAAATTTGTATTAATTCATATTATATATGGTATATTTATGTGTGTGTGATATATCACACGCCCACACACAGGGGTGTGTGTGTGTGTGTATATATATATATGTATATATATGTTTATATATATGTTTCATTCATTCATTGTTTGGTTTCAAGGGTATTTAATTATAAATTAATTATAAAAAGAAGAAACACAGCCAGGTGTGTTGGCTCATGCCTGTAATCCCAGCACTTTGGGATGCTGAGTCAGGCCAACCACTTCACACCAGAAGTTTAAGACCAACCTGGCCATAATGGCAAAAACCCGTCTCTATTAAAAATACAAAAATGAGCTGGGCATGGTGGTGCATGCCTGTGATCCCAGTCCCTTAGGAGGCTGGTGCAAGAATTGCTTGAATCTGGGAGGCAGAGGTTGCAGTGTGAGCTGAGATCACACCACTGTACTCCAGCCGGGGCGACAGAATGAGACTGTGTCTCAAAAAAAAAAAAAAAAAGAAAAGAAAAGAAAAAGAAAAAAAAAGAAAAAACTAAAATCCTATAGTTTCACATACTTCATGATTCAAGAGAAAAAAATAAAATAAATTAGGAACTCAACTGAAATGAAATACCACATAACAAATCATTTAAGACACAGCTAAGATGACAAGTAGAAGTTACTTTATTATGTTAAATATATACAAACATGTTTTGTAATGAAAAAAAGTAAAAACGTGAAGAAGCAAACTCAAGAAACTATATATTATATATAATGTTTATATATGTAGTAATATAACATTAAATGAGTCTGAGAAGACCAATGAAGCAGACATTTTATTATTTTATTAATCAACATAAAAGCTGTAACATATAAGTAAAAAAGTTAAAGTATAAATATGTTGTACAATATATTTTTATATATGTATACATTGTGCAATGGCTAAATCAAGCTAATTAACATATTAAACGCCTCACATACTTATCACTTTTTTTGTGGTGAGAACATTTAAAATCTACTCTCTTGGCAATTTTCAAGTATGTAACATACTGATATTAACTATAGTCACCATGAGGTAGAGTATATCTATTGAACTTATTCCTCCTATACAATGGAATTTTTTGGATAGTTTGTTGTTAGTATGTAAAAAAATACTGATTTTGTATGTTACTTTTGTATCCTGCAACTTTACTAAATATATTTATTAGTTCTAACAGTTTTTTAATGGAATTTATTTACTTGAGTTTTTTTCTTAGTGAAGCTCAGAAGCTCAAGGTTTGTTAATTTTTTTCCTTAAAAAACACAATTCTTAGTTTCTTTGATCTTCTCTACCATCTTTTAATTTTCTATTTAATTTATTTCTGCTCTGATCTTTATTGTTTCCTTTCTTCTACTAACTCTGGGTTTGTTCTTTTTCAAGTTTGTTGAGGTGTAAGAGTATAGGTTGTTTATTATGAATCTTTCTTCTTTTTTGATGTCAGCATTTATAGCCACAGACTTTCCTCTGAGAAATGCATTCCTGAATTTTATAAATTTTCCTATATTCCATTTTTTTCTCTCAAGATATTTTTAAATTTCTTGTATAATTTCTTCCTTGATCCATTGGTTTGTTTGGAATCATATCGTTTAATTTTCACATATTTGGGTATTTTTCTGAAATTTCTCTTATGTATTTCTAGTTTTATACTATTGTGGTCAGAAAAGATACTTGATATGATTTCAATCCTTTTAAATGTGTTGACTTGTTTTGTGGTCTGACATATTATCCATCCATGAGAATGTTTAGTGTATATTTCAGAAGAATGTGTATTTGGCTACTATTAGATGGAATGTACTATATATATATCTGTTAGGTCCATTTTTATTCTGAAGAATAGTTCAAATCCAGTGTTTTCATACTGATTTTCTGTCTGGATGATCTGTCCATGATTGAAAATTGGCACTGAAGTCTCCTATTATTATTTAACTGCAGTCTGTGTTCATCTTTAGATCTACTAATATTTGCTTTATATATTTAAGTTCTCCAATATTGGGTGCATATATTAATAGTTGCTATATTGGCTGGGCATGGTGGCTGATGCCTGTAATTCCAGCACTCTGGGAGGCCAAGGTGAGAGGATCAGTTGAGGTCAGGAGTTCGAGACCAGCCTGGCCAACATGGCAAAACCCTGACTCTACTGAGAATACAAAAATTAGCCAGTCATGGTAGCAGATACCTGTAATCCCAGCCACTTGGAAGGCTGAGATTGGGGAATCGCTTGAGCCCGAGAGGCGGAGGTTGCAGTGAGCAGAGATTGCTCCACTGCACTCCAGCCTGGGTGACAGAGGGAGACTGTCTCAAACAAAAAAAAAATTGTTATATCTTCTTGAGGAGTTGTTCACTTTATAATTATGACTTTCTTTATTGTTTACAGTTTTTGGCTTAAAATCTATTTTTATCTCAGACAAATATAGCTATCCTAGCTCTCTTTTTGTTTCTATTTGGATGAAATATATTTTCCATCCTTTTACTTTCAATGTATCTGTATCCTTAAAGGTGACATAAATCTCTTATAGATGATGTGTTGTATTTTTTTTTTAGATGAGTGTTATATATTTTTTTATCCATTTGGTCATTCTTTGCTTTTTGATTGAAGAATTTTGTCAGTTTACATTCAAGGTAATTATCAATAGGTAGGGACTTAACTGTTGACATTTTGTTAATTGCCTTTCGGCTGTTTCATAGATCTTTGTTCCTTTCTTCCTTTTATTAAGTACCTTTGTGATTAGATTTTTTTTCCTCTGGTAGCATGCTTTTAATTCTTATTTTTAATCTTTTGTATGTCTACCAAAGGTTTTTGCTTTATGGTTATCATGAGGCTTACATAAAACATCATAGTTATAATAAGTTATTTTAAACTGATAACAACTTAACTTTGATCACATAAAACAACTCCTCTGCACTTCACTCCCCCATCTACTTCTTGATGTCACAATTTCCATCCCTTTTATGTTATATATCTCTTAGCAAATTATTTCAGCTATTATTTTTAGTAATTTCTTTTAATCTTCATACTAAATTATATATAAGTAATTTACATACTATCATTACAGTACATACTTTTACCAATGAATTTTGTACCTTCATATGTTTTCATGTTTCCTATGTTTCATATGTAACATGAAAGAAGCGTCCTGTTCTTTCAGATTGAAGAATTCCGTTCAGCATTTCTTGTAAGACAGTTGTGGTGGTAAGGACCTCCCTCAACTTTTCTTTGTTTTGGAGAGTCTTTATGTCTCCTTTTCTGTATGACAGCTTTGCGAGGTAAAGTATTTTAGTTGACAGTTTTTTCTTTTTCTTTTTTCCTTAAGCACTTTGAATATATCACCCCACTTTCTCCTGGCCCGTAAGGTTTCTGTTGAAAAATCTGCTGCTAGTCTTATTGGAATTTCCTCATATGTGATTTGATTTTTTTGATGCTTTCAGGGTCGTCTCTCTGTCTTTGATTTTTGACAATTTAATTATAATATGTCTCAAGATAGTCTTATTTGGGTTGTCTGATTGGAGACCTTTGAAAACCTTTCTGTATCTGAATATTTACATCTTTCCTCAGATTTCGAAAGTTTTCTGCCTCTATTTCTTTAAATAAGTTTTCTTCCCATTTGTCTCTCTCTTTTTTTTGCAAACTCCTATAATAAAAAAAAAATTTGCTGTTTTGATGCTGTGTTATAAATCCTATAAGTTTTCTTCATTACTTTTCTTGTTTTTATTGTTGTTTTCGCTTCTGTTTAATTTCAAATAACCTGTCTTCAAGTTCATAAGTTCTTCCTTCTGCTTGACCAATTCTGCTGTTGACTCTCTATTACATTTTTTATTTTATAGTACATTTTAGCTCTAGAATTTCTGTTTAATTTGTTTTTAAATAATTTCTATTTCTGCTAAATTTCTTAGTTTGGTCACTTACTGTTTTCCTTATTTGACTGAATTGTTTCTCTCTATTTTATTAAAGTTTGCTAAGATTCTTTGAAATAATTATTTTTAATTCTTTATTTATCTCTAGTTTCTTTGGGAGAAATTATTGTGTCCTTTTGGTGGTGTTACGTCATCTTTTCTTGTAAATGTTTCTTGTTGCCTTAAATTGATGTCTGCACATTTGAAAAAACAGTCATCTTCTTTAGACTTTATGGGCTAGTTTCTCTAGGAAAGGCTTTCTTCCGTGGATGGGGGTGGTGTTGCAAGGGTGCTTATTGGTTGGAATGCAATTGTTCTGGTACCTGTGAGGGTGCAGCTGTGCTGTGAAGTCTCTGTGCAGCTCTTTTAGCTAAGGTCAGTCTTAACAAAAATTGCAGGGATCCTCAGTTGCCAATAATATGCATATCTGCAGTGGTGGCAAGAGTTGTTGGGTCTTCAGCGGTGATGGCTGCTAAGGTCCTCCCACTTTTTTTTTTTCTCCTATCAGGCAAGTTGTGGCTGAGGGAATCCCCCTTGTCACTGGCTCTGGCTTGCAGGCCCATTTATGGTGGTAGTAGTAGCACCAGTGCCCGATGAATGGTATCTGCAGAACAGCCATAAAGCTAAGACCTGACACATGAGCACATGTGGAGGGACTGTGGCTCTGCAATCTAGGGCAGTAATAGCAATGATGCCTCAGGCTCAGGAACTCCCACTACCAGGTTGGTAACAGTATGCAAGGCTGTAATGCTTGTGAAGTAGCTGGGGATCTGAGAATGGGAGCATAGGCTTGCACAGAGTTAAGAGCAGCTCCAGGGTGAGGGTGGGGCCTAGCTCTCCAAGACAACTAAGCCAGTTCCTGAAGCAGGGGCATGGTCAGTGAGACCTTGGCCCAGAGTGTGAACTAGCTCATTATGGTGATGGCTCCAGTGGAAAGGCACAGTGAAGCCACAGAGCACAGGTCTGATGTGTGGGCACTTGAAGAGTGGCCATGGCTTTGGGGTCAGGGTGCATGTGGTGTTGGGAGAAGTGGAAGCTCTTTTCCCATAGTGGCTCAACAGTTGCCACATCTTGGGTGGCAGGAATGTGCTGCCGTGTGTCCCTCTATGGGGTTCCCCAGAAGTTAAGGCTGTTTGTTACCTCAATGGCAAAAGATGCTTGTGTCTTCTGCAGAGCAGGCCGTGGGGAACCACATGGGTTTGCACCACGGTGCTGATACTCATTGCCTCCATCTTGATTCTTTGTGCCTAGCAGTCTCCTTCTGGGTATGCTGTCTCACCAGAGAGCATTTCTGTGTGAATATTCTCCATTTTGTTTTTGCTTGTTTGTTTGTTTGCACCATTATGTTGCTGCAGGGCCTTTAATAAGCTGTTGAGTCCTATGAGGTTTTTGTTTGTGGATATTTTGGTTTGTGGATAGTTGTCTATGTTTAATTTTTGTTGGTGGGGTGCAGACTGGTATCTCCTACTCTACCATCTTGGTGACATTGCTACCTCTGTATTTTTTTTAATTAAAAAATATACTGAATTTTGGCAATAATATAAAAATAAAATAAAATTAATAAAATTCTATAAATAATAAAATTAACCACAAATTCATAAATATTAAGCTGCAACATACAGTTATGAAGGAGATAATCTCATATTTCTTTTAGATAATTGAGAAAGGGAAAAAGGCATCTCTTTTTGTGTCACACTTCCTTCTTTATGTTATTAGCTAGATGCTCCTCATCTAGAATTTTATGTTTTCACATTTCTTAGAGCTCAATACTCACACTTATTTTTCTCTAATCTCTTTTAAAATGCATTTTAAAAATTACATTTATAAGTTGATGACTTCACATTTTCCTCTATTATTCAGGATCATATATCACTCTTCCAAGTAACATATTCACCTGGAAACAAAAACATCCTAAAATACACTGTACAAAACAGAATACTTCTTTCCCTGTCCAACACCTCCCCCTGCACAGCTCTTTACATGGCTCACTCCCTTTCTTCAGTTCTTCGTTCAAAGTTGCTTATGAATGCATGTTAAGAATGTTGTTCATTTATCAATAGTGGTATGGTAGCCTAAATGTATTTTTCAACATTCTATAGAGGTTTTCATCAACTTTGTATCAGAAAAGTTGAGGCTAAATAAGTATTTTTTGACGGAATAAATTATTTAAGTATTGAAATATTATAATCTGTATGTTATTTTGTTTATCATTTCTTCTGATAGCGAAATAATTGGAAATGCCTAAATGCCTATCAAGTGTGAAACTGTTAAATTATAATGTCTCTATGCACATATAAATAATGTAAACAGAAATATGAAAATGACATGACAAAAAACAGGCAAAAAAAATTCAAAAATATGTTTTATACCAACATTTATTTCTGTATATTGTGCTATGCATCTCTCTATATGATTGTTTACCTCTTTTTTTAAAAAAGACTAGCAATGTTAATCATGAATCTCTCTGATTTTGAAGATTTGGACCTCATTTTGTAATAAGAAAATGTATTATTTTCAAGTGTTCTTTTTTTATGTAAACATGTACTAATACATAGATTAACATATTTTGTTAACATTTGAAAATACCCCTTTTACAAAAATTTTCTATCATCTTTGGACTAAAATGTTAACTTACTCAGCTTTTTCCAAATAGCTTCCATGCTTATGTCCAGAGAGACTGCACAGAGATGGTGCAGTCTCTCCGAAGGCAGGATGACTATGGAAGGAGTAGCATTGGTGAAAAGTTTCTGTGACAGGTGTCACATGGGAAGCTGTCAAATAGGCCTTTAGATAAAGTTTGGAGCTGAGAAATATGTGCCAAGGGGATAAATAAATTATGCCATGCAATTACAAAATTGTCATTTTAAAAGTTGACAGTGGGTACGAGGTAATAGACATGATTACTATTTAGGATAAAACGATTAATTAGTTATAAATTTTTCACTAAATAAAACACGTTAAGGACTAGATACCATTAGATTTATTATGGTCCGCCTTTTATATGGTCATCTGTGATGTCAACAAAAAGATGTTTTCAGATATTCAAGGGCTTTGACAAAATAACACACAAATTCCTTCACTTAAAATTTAATCAAAATTTATTCTAAGTCACCAGGAAGTCAGTTGAAATTATTCCAGATTTGACAACGATGGTATAATAAAATTGTTAATGAAACCACGAAGACATGAAGTTAAGAGCAATGAGGTAAATACATAAATAACTAAAAATGTAGAAACTAGTAAATGTCCCTTGAGAGATTATATGCAAAATTCAATTCAGTTTAGGCAATGGATATTCCTTCATTGCAAAAGGCCAGGGATAGATGAGAAAGAAGGTGACAATGGAACTGGGCCTTATTGGGTAAGGTGAATTTGAACATGGAAAGCATGTGAGTAGATAGTTCAAAAAAGATGAGCAGGGGCAAATACATAGGCTGGATAAGGTGAGATGTTTGCACCTTTCACAGGTCCCTGTGAGAGCAGCAGGTTTTCGCAGGGAAGCATTGGGTTACTCAGCAGGACAGTTAGATTAGTCTAGACTGGGTGGGCCTTCAAATTTGTAGATGCTTTCACCATCCTCCACTAAATGAACAATTGTTCCTTACAAATCCAACCCAATAATTTTATTTTATTGTAACAAAAATACATAATATGTTGTTTTAAAACTTATCTTTAAGAATAGTAGTTGTCTGTTATACAAAATAAATTGTTAATTTTCAAGTAGAATTTCTTAAGTACTAGATCTGATGATTATGCACTATCCTACAAGAAAAGATTCAGACAGGTAGGAAAATTAACAAGTCATTAAGTAAACCAAATACTTTAAAATGTACTTTGCTTCAAATAATGAAAATGGTCATTTAAAAATATGATTATAAGACAGCGATTGCAAATCAACTCCAATTAACTGTAAAGAAATTGTATGTAATTGAGAGAAATTCTTAAAATGTACACATACTCAGAAGATATAAAAAAAAATTTAAGGTGCTCCAGTCTGGTCAATAGAGTGTAGTTTTAATGAACATATAAACTTTAAAAAGCATTATTTCTCAAAATAAATTTTTATTAGTAATTAATAAACAAATTTGTTTCACATATTTGCAGAATGATGTATGCTACATATGAACATATCTTAGCATATATATAAATTTATAAACCTGTTACATTATTTCAGGTTCATGCTTATACCAATGTTAATATTAAATTGCTAAATACACAAAACAAGAAAATAATTCAATAAGTATTTAATGGAGAATAGTTAAAGTTATCTGTTTTCAATTGATATTACATTTTAAATTTTATTTTTAGCTTGTTCCTACAAGTCTTTTATCTCTCAGTGTAATCAAATTCTTCTTTTCTGAGCTTTTTTTTTCCTTAGAATGATTGCATAGACTATGTAAATTATTGTAAGCTCATAGTCAGAAATCTACAGAAAATTAAAACAGATCTAAAGAAAATCAAGCAAAAAAGAAAGTTAATCTGGAAAAAAACCCAAGACATATTCAGAACCATTTTCACTACTTTTTCCTATCTCATCACTATCTATACTTAGCATATTCTCTCCCCACTTTTCATTCTTTGAAAATGAACTCAAATGGCATTTTGTAAGTAATATTTTTATTTTCTGTTCTCCTGGAATGTGAGAGTCAGGCATCAGACAAATGTCATTTGTGTGTAATCCTTGCAGTTCTAACTTTTCACTGCGGCATGATATTTCACCTATCAAGTCACTATTCTATTTTAAGAGAAGTAAGTGTCTCTGCCTTAGGAATTTCCATAAGAATTTAATGAACTGCGATATAATGCATAAAGAGCTAAGAATTATTACCTGTTCTAGTATCATATTCCCATGTTGTTCTATAAATCCTTTAACTCTTCAATCTTTATCCTCTGATTTTTTCCCTTAAATCAACTCCAGTCAGATTTTCCCCCAAACACTGAAAATATTCTTGACAAGGCCATCAACTACCACTATGGCTAAATTCAATGTTATTTATCAGTTCTCATCAAATTGCAGCTCTGTTTGACACAATTGATTACTCCCTCCCTACAAGAACTTTTTACTGTCTAGCTGTCAAGGCCACACACCACCACTGATGTTTTCCTTCTTCAATTACTGACCACACCTCTTCATCCACACTTGCTAGTTTCTCTTTATATCTTCAACTCTTTAATATAGAGAGTGTCGAGGACCACTGGCCTTTCTCCTTTGTCTATACTTACTCCATGATAATCTCATGAAGGCTTCATGTAGAAGACTCCCACATTTACATCTACTATGAATACAATACTTGCAGATCCAATTGCCTACTGATATGGTTTGGCTGTGTCTCAGCCCAAACATCGTCTTGAATTGTAGTTGCCATAATCTCCACATCGTGGAAGACACCAGGTGGAGATAATTGAATCACAGGGGGCAGTTTCCCCTATCCTGCTCTTAGGATATTGAGCTAGTTCTCATGAGATCTGATGGTTTTATAAGGGGCTTCCCCCTTTGCTGGACACTCATTCTCCTCTCTGCCACCATGTGAAGAAGGATGTGTTTGCTCTCCCTTCTGCCATGATTGTAAGTTTCCTAAGGCCTTCCCAGCCCTGCCAAACTGTGAGTCAATTAAACCTCTTTCCTTTACAAATTACCCAGTCTCAGGTATACCCTTATAGAAGCGTGAGAACAGACTAATACAGTAAATTGGTGCCGGGTGATGGAGTGCTGCTGTAAAGATACCCAAAAATGTAGAAGTGACTTTGGAATTGAATAGTAGACTGAGGTTGGAACAATTTGGAGGGCTCAGAAGAAGACAGGAAAATGTGGGAAAGTTTGGAACTTCCTGGAGACTTGTTGAATGGCGTTGACCAAAATGCTTACAGTGATACGGGCCATGAAGTTCAGGCTGAGGTGGTCTCAGATGGAGATGAGGAACTTCTTGGGAACTGGAGTAAAGTAGATCGGAGGCATTTTGCCCCTGCCCTAGAGACATGTGGAACTTTGAATTTGAGAGAGGTGATTTAGGGTACCTGGTGGAAGAAATTTCTAAGCAGCAAAGTGTTCAAGAGGAAGCAGATCATAAAAGTTTGGAAAATTTGCAGCCTGATGAAGCAATAGAAGAGGAAACCCCATTTTCTGGGGAGAAATTCAAGTCTGCTGCTGAACTTTGCATATGTAATGAGGCATCAAATGTTAATAACCAAGATAATGGGGAAAATATCTCCAGGGTATGTCAGAGACCTTCACTGCAGCCCCTCCCATCACAAGCCTGGAGGCCTGCAAAGGAAAAATGGCTCTATGGGTCAGGCCCAGGGTGCCCCTGTTGTGTGCAACCTCAGGACTTGGTGCCCTGCACCCCAGCTGCTTCAGCTCCAGCCATGGCTAAAAGGACTAAGTACAGCTCAGGCCATTGCTTCACAGGGTGCAAGCCCTAAGCCTTGGCAGATTCCACATGGTGTTGGGCCTGCAGGTGGGCAGAAGACAGGAATTGAGGTTTGGGAACCTCTGCCTAGATTTCAGAGGTTATATGGAAATGCCTGGATGTCAAAGCAGGAGTGAAGGAGCAGAGCCCTTATGGAGAACTTCTGCTAGGGCAGTGCAGAAGGGAAATGTGGGGTTGGAGCCTCTGCACTGAGTCTCCACTGGGGCATTGCCTAGTGGAGCTGGAGAAGAGGCCCATCATCCTCCATACCCCAGAATGGTAGATTCACCAACAGCTTGCAACACGCACCTGGAAAAGCCACAGACACTTAACCCCAGCCGTGAAAGCAGCCTAGAGGGGAGCTATAACTTGCAAAGCCGCAGGGGTGGAGCTCCCCAAGGCTGTGGGAGCCCACCTCTTGCATCAGCACGTCTTGGATGTAAGACATGGAGTCAAAGGAGATCATTTTGGAACTTTAAATTTTAATGAGTGCCCTACTGGATTTTGGACTTGCATGGGGCCTGTAGCCCCTTTGTTTTGGCCAATTTCTCCCATTTGGAACAGGTGTATTTACCCAATTCCTGTACCCCCATTGTATTTAGCAAGTAGTTAACTTGCTTTTAATTATACAGGCTCATAAGCAGAAGAGACTTTCCTTGTCTCAGATGAGACTTTGGACTTAGACTTTTGAGTAAAGGCCGGAATGAGTTAAGACTTTGGGAACTGTTGGAAGGGCATAATTGTGTTTTGAAGTGTGAGGACGTGAGATTTGGAAGGGAACAGGGGCGGATTGGTATGGTTTGACTGTATCCCCACCCAAATCTCATTTTGAATTGTAGTTCCCATAATCCCCACATGTTGTGGGAGGGACCAGATGGAGATAATTGAATCATGGAGTAGTTTCCCCCATCGTGTTCTCTTTATAGTGAGTTAGTTCTCACAAGATCTGATGGTTTTATAAGGGGCATCCCCCTTCATTGGGCACTAATCCTTCTTTATCCTGCCACCATGTAAAAAAGGACATATTTGCTTCTCCTTCTGCCGTGACTGTAAGTTTCCTGAGGCCTTCCCAGCCCTGCAGAACTGTGTTATCAGTTAATCCTCTTTCCTTTATAAATACCCAGTCTTGGGTATGTCCTATAGCAGCATGAGAATGGACTAATACACCTACCTACCAAATCCATTTGGATAGTTAACAGACATCTCAAACTTGATCTCCTCCACTCAATTTTGCCACCCCATTTTGCCTAATACAGTCTTCCACAACTCCTCTAGTTGCATAGGCCCAGGTGTCTCTTTTTACCTTCTCTGTCTCATATATCACATTAAATTCACATGCTGGCTGCCCTTCAAATATATATACAGAAAATCAGACATTTACTTACCCATCCACTACTTCCTCTCTGGTCCAAGGTTTCTAATAGCAAAAGCCTTTAAAACAGCACCTCAAGTTTTTATCTCTTCCTCTGGAATATATGCTTAATACTGTAGCCAGAATGATCACTTGTAAAACATATCTGGACTATGTTTCTTCTTTTCTAAGAAAATTTACAATGCCATCTCATATCGCTCCCTTTATTTATGAAATTTGGAAAATTCCCACATATATGTTCCTTACTTCTTTGATGTTTACTCCTGTTAACTTCTCTTACATAGCATGTTTGCCATACTGGCTTCCTTGCCTAAATTTTGAGCTTGCCAATTAGATTCCTACCCCATGGCCGTTGCACTTGCTCTTCTCTCTGCCTATGGTGCTTCTCTTCCACATATGTACAAGCTAGCATCTCCATCCACTTTAAGTCTTTGCTCAAATATAAGTTTCTAAATATGGATGCCCCATCATGACTATGTTATTTTAACTTGCAGCACTCCTTACTTCCCTTTCCTGCTTTAGTTTTCCCCATAACACACATACTTTATTTTAGTTTTACTCTGCTTTATCTCATTAGAATATAACCACTGTGAAGCCACTGACTTCTATCTGTCCCCACCCTGATCGAACTTTCCTAATAACTAGAAAAGTAGAACAGTATCTGGCATATAGCAGCCTCAAAATAAATATTTGAACTGAATTGCATTGAACTGAATTGAATGCCTTCTTTGAATATTGTGTTAGCCTGCTTGGGGTACCATAAGAAATATAGACTGCTTAAACAACAAAATTAATTTTCTCTCAGTTCTGATGGCTGGAAGTCCAAGATCAAAGTTCCAGCTGATTTAGTTTCTTGTGAGAGCTCTCCTCTTCACTTGAAGATTGACACTTTCTTCCTATGTCCACACATGGGCTTTCCTTGGTATATGCATGAGAAGGAATGGTAGAGAGAGAGAAAATAAAGAGAGAGAGAGAGAGAGAGAACAGAAGTGAGTGAGCTCTGGGATTCCTTCTTATAAGGGCATTACTCTTGTCACATATTACCATTACTCCCCACCCTATGGCCTCATTTAACCTTAATTACTTCCTTAGAGTTGCCATCTCCAAATACAGCCTCACAGTGCAGAGGGTGGGGCTAGGGTTTCAACCCATGAATTTGTTGATGTGAATGGAGGAGGTGACACAAACTTTCAGTTCATAACAGATACCAACTTTTCAATCTAGGCCATGAATTTTTAGATATAGATTATAAGTGTTATACTTGTTCAAATATAACACAATCCATATGAATTTGTTCTTAAAATGCTTATGAATATGCTCTCTTTCAAGCTCAACCATGTTTTCAGACAATACCTAATAAATTTCCAGCAGATTGTCATGAGCTATTCATTTATTCTAAAAACAATTTTCCTTTCCTTTTTTAATATGCTTAAATGTAACTTAATTAATTAGTAAAAAATGTTTCAAAGGATTCCAAGTAAAATGTTACAGATTTTGAAACTAAGTTAGTCCTAGGGTTTAGCATCTACTTATAAAATTAGTATTATCTGCCAGCATGTACGAGGCACACAGAAATAGTGGCTTATAAAAGTGGTATTTTCCCAATCAACAAAATGGAATAAAGCATGAAGGAAAGAAAGGACAGAAGTAACCAAAACAATAAAAGACCTAAATTAACTATGGAAACTGAACAGAAAAAAGCTTAGGCATGAAATAAAAAAGTGATTTGATTTGGTCAATTTTTATAGAAAATAATTCAAAGATAATAGATTTTCACTTTTATTTTAATTGAGGGCAGTTTAAGGGCAATATCTTCAAAATAAATTGTGTAACACCCATCTTGTTTGGGCGACATATCAATAAGTCAGATTTTTAAAGTTTCTTCAGTAAAAATTCTACATATGTTCAACTTGCTTAAATTTTGTCACCAAATTTTTTTTCGTGCCATGTATCAGAAAAAGATGTTTACCCCCTGAGGTATATATACTTAATATGGTTTTCCTACATACTTACAGCTAAAAGCCCAGTCTAGGATAATAATTTTTACTTGTTTGGATTAAATAATACTTTTATCTATTTGCTTTTCAAGAACACTGTTATGGGAAGTCAGGGACCCTGAATGGAGGGACCGGCTGGAGCCATGGCAGAGGAACATAAATTGTGAAGATTTCATCTTGATATGGACATTTATCAGTTCTTAAATAATACTTTTATAATTTCTTATGCCTGTCTTTAATCTCTTAATCCTGTTATCTTCATAAACTGAGGATGTACATCACCTCAGGACCACTGTGATAATTGTGTTAACTGTACAAATTGATTGTAAAACATGTGTGTTGGAACAATATGAAATCAAGGCACCTTGAAAAAGAACAGAATAATAGCAATTTTTATGGAACAAGGGAAGACAACCATAAGGTCTGACTGCCTGCGGGGTTGGGCAAAAAGAGCCATATTTTTCTTCTTGCAGAGAGCCTATAAACAGATGTGCAAGTAGGAAATATGTCACAAAATTCTTTTCCTAGCAAGGAATATTAATATTAATATCCTGGGAAAAGAAGGAGTTCCTGTGGGGAGGTCTATAAATGGCAGCTCTGGGAATGTCTGTCTTGTGCAGTTGAGATAAGGACTGAAATAAGCCCTGGTCTCCTGTAGAACCCTCAGGCTTACTAGGGTTGGGAAAACTCAGCACTGGTAAATATGTGGTCAGACCGGTTCTCTGCTCTTGAACCCTGTTTTCTGTTGTTTAAGATGTTTATCAAGACAATACGTGCACTGCTGAACATAGACCCATATCAGTGGTTCTGCTTTTGCCCTTTGCCCCGTGATCTTTGTTGGACCCTTATCAGTGGTTCGCTTTTGCCCTTTGCCTTGTTCCCTCAGAAGCATGTGATCTTTATTAGACCCTTATCAGTGGTTCTGCTTTTTGCTCTTTGAAGCATGTGATCTTTGTACCTACTCTCTGTTCTTACACCCCCTCCCCTTTTGAAACCCTTAATAAAAACTTGCTGGTCTGAGACTCAGGTTGGCATCATGGTCCTACCAATATGTGATGTCACCCCTGGTGGCCCAGCTGTAAAATTCCTCTCTTTGTACTGTCTCTCTTTATTTCTCAGCTGGCCGACACTTATGGAAAATAGAAAGAACCTATGTTGAAATATTGGGAGTGAGTTCCCCCGACAGAACACTGTTTACTTTGAACCATTTAACATTGGTGCCCAATTTAAGATTTTCTACTAGGAAATATCATCCATTACCCTTCTATACTTTATAAGCTCTACAAAAACTTAAGAAATAGTAGATAGACATTAAGCCATTCCTAAATAATATTTTAGAACTCAACAGACTTTACATAAATCTGAATGGAGGAGTGATTCTCTACAGATGTCAGAGACCCATCATAGCCATGGTATTATTGGTTATACCAGGAAGCCCTACTGAACCTGGAAATATACTGAACTGTCATAGACTCCATGCTATGCAAAATCTACACTTGTAAAAATATTTTGAGTTGAATTGACATTTCTGCTTTTGAAAAACTTTATCTTCTAACAAGCTAATATTCTTTGTTTTCTCCTTCCACCTATTTGTAATCTTAAATAACCACTGTAAATTGTGTTAATTCAAGTTTATTTACTGCACATGAAAACAGGTCACTGAAATGTGTAGGTACTGAACAACTTAAAAAAATGTTTTCACATGTTTCAAGGTGTTTAAAATAAGCATGGATCTTAAGTACTTACTAAAAATTAATTATATTGTAAAATAAAGTGTTCAGTTTGATGGTAATAAAAATTCACTAAAATACAAAACTACAAAAATACTAATATAAATGTTAAAAAGATACAATTTACACCCTAAAACTTAAAGGATAATAATAATAAAATATAAAATTAAAAAAAGATACAATTTACACATTTATTAGAATTTCTAATCAGAAAAATACAAAATTTAATATACTTAAAACTAGAGCTATACTTTAAACATTAAAAGGATAATTTGAAAACATAGCCAATAATCTAGGCAACTGAAACAAAAGGTCAAACAACAAACCTTCATTCTTATTTTGCAGTTTCTAAGCATTTAAATGATAAATATTTTTGGCTGACCATTGGAACAAATGCATGATTTTTCCAGTAAATATGTGAAATAATAGTCTTCAAAAATCACTAATTTACCACTTTATGTGCTTTTACAAAAAATGCTATCAACATTATTTTAATAGAAACTAATATTTTTTTAAAAAAAGTGTTCTAGCTGTTCTACACCAAATACATTGATTTAAAAAAATCCGCTTAGTTTTTCAAAAGTGTTGGGAATATTCTAGATTCTTGCTATTGTTTGTTTGTTTCTTAGAATTCACACTGTATTCCACAACTATTCCATGGCAGACATAGCCACTCTGATAAGATCCTTTTGGTGTAGGCAAACAGAGAATACTAGTACGTTTCCACTAGCATTCCCATTCTATTGGCTGGCATCAGAATGTTGTCTTTTCATGGGGTGTATTGGTGGACTCTTTTGAAGCTGCCTTCCTCAGGGTATACATACTGTACAGTGTGTATCCTGACTTGGCAGAGCTACTTTTATGGCATCTCTTAACCTATAAATTAATGCAGCTGGGCCTTTGTCTCTGCTTCCCTTTCTGCTTGCCCTACTAATCATGGCTCACCCAGGAGACTAACAGTCTTCAAAATTCCTCAGAAGGAAAACAGGCTGTAAACACTGAGTATACATATATATACACATATATATAGTGTGTATATATATTCATATATATGAATGAAAATTCATATATATGAGTATATACATATATTCATATATATATTCAAACAACTAAAGACAAATGTCAGTTTCTCAAGAATATTTTTACCATATTCCCATCCAGTGGCAGTTCTGGGATGGGCCTAAGGGTTTCTACAGCTTTTGAAACATCCAACCAGAAGTGATTAATGTCAATTTCTCTTTAGTAAACATCTCTAATCTCTCTGAGATGGAGCTCCTTTCAGTTATCCTAGTGAGCTGAGCATGAACAGACTCAGTTTCTTCCTCCAGTGCTCTCCATTTTCTGCTTATATGGCTGGATTGGTAGGAGTGAAGATTGAAACACTAGTTTGGCTTATCTTCCCTCTAAAAAAGGAGGTGGAGTCTGGGGTGGGAGGACTCTGGAAGTTACATATTTGTTTTATAATGTGGCAAGTCTCGTTGTCTATTGTCCTCAAATTTTCAATAAAAAAACTGGGAAAGACCCATTTTATGTAATGAGCCCAGATATTTCATTCATAGAACCAAAATTTCTCTATAATATATAAAAGGGAGGGGGTGGGAGTTGCGGAGAGCAAACATTACAAAATTGCAGAAAAGAGACCATTCCTCTCATGTATAAAAACATTCTGTTCTATGAAGGTGTAATCCAGAGTGATGTGTTAAAATAAATATAAAATTGGGGATCAATTTTGTGTGAGTGTGAGGATAAATGCTAGGCTTTCATGGTCATTATATTAGCTCAGAATAAAAACTCAGTGCTCTAGAGGTATCAGAAACAGCCTTTATAAGTATTTCACTCACTTTTTCTATAGTACACAAGGGAATGTCTATTAATATATATTTTACTGAACAAGACACTCTTTGCCTTCCATTTTCCCTGCTTTCCACCAAGCACAAACCTTCCATGCATTCAATAGAGAGTTAAAGCAAAATCTATTTCTGTGCGTGATGTGGCAGTCTGATTTACTAAGAATTAAATGTGGCAGAATAACGTATTGAGAAATTTAATAACTGTCTAGTTTTTATTTTGCCATAGCACCAGAAAATGGATAGAGTGTTATTTTCTTTCACTCTCCATTTGCGTCAGGGTAGCATTGAGTTTGTGTCCTTGAGTTCTGGGATTCCTTTTTTTCCTGGGTAAGGAGGGAGAAGAGAGATTTTTGGGAGTTTGTGAGCAATGGAGAAGTTGTCATGTAGAATATGCAAATAATAAGTATTAAAAAGTTAAATCCTCAATGTCTTCCTCCACCCATTCCAATTTTTTTTTTTTTTTTTCAATGAGCACGGGGACTTTATTACACAGCACGGTTCTCATACCTGTTTCCAGAACGCTCAGTAGTAAGGCCGTCTGGGATTGTTCAGGGGGTTGGGCCGGAAGCGGTAGGCCAGCATCATCTTCTTGCGGAAGGCCTCGTACTCGTCGTCCTCCTTGGAGAACTCGGCCAGCCGGTCAATGCTGAAGCCGGCACCTTCCACTGTGGTGGTGGCCTTGTTGACTGGGTTCTTGATGCCCTGGCCCTCCGAGCCCAGCCCCTCGCCTTCCTTCCAGCCCATCTTCATCAGCATCTGATAGCCAGTGTTCTCCACAGTCAGCCTGAACTCCTTGTACTCCGAGTAGTCAGGCTCACGGCTCTCCTTCAGGGCCTTGAGGATTTCCAGAACTTCTCCAGCTCGTCGGGAGGCAGGAAGTCTCCCATGAAATGCTTGCCCTAGCCCACCTTTGTCAGCTGCTTGGCCCATTTCCTGGTCTTGTCCATCTCCATGCGCCGCAGCTGGTGCTTCCAGGTGCCCAGCTCGCTGTCCACCTCCTCGTCGCTGTGGTAGCCGTGCTGGTGCTGCATGTCCTGCATGGCCCGCTTGTGCTGCATGATCATGTCGTATATCTGCTGCATCTCCTGCTGCTCCTTCGGCTGCTGCTTCTGGGCGTCCGACAGCTCCGTGACGCCCACTAGACCCACGGGCTTCCCCTTCTTATAGCCGAACCCCTTGCGGTCCTGAACTGACAGAGGCGAGGGAGAGGCGTCCACGTCCCTCTGCACCAGCTCAGCAGGTGGGAGTTCTGCCTTATTCTCTTCTGGCCTCCACCGGCTCTTCCGCTTCCTCTTCACGGTGGCTGCCGAGGCTGGCTTCCCTGGAGCGGCTGGAGCAGGGATGACGGAGAACGGGGGGCGGGAGGCGCAGGCGGGGACGAGATGGGACAAGTGGTGGCCGGAGGCAAGACCCTAACAGGGCCTCAGGAGGGGACTTGGGCTTCAGGCCGGGGTCGGGTGCCCTGAGGCTGCCTGTGGAGCCGGCCTTGGCTTTCCGGAACTCCTCCCGCTTCTATCGGTAGTACTTGTATCCTTGGCTGTTAGTCTCGTACAGAAAGCTGAATGCCTGGTTCTCACAGTTGTTCTGGAGGGCGATGGTTTCCACCTCCGGATGCCAGTCTACTACGAACCTGGCCAACTTCCCTGCAAGGTTCTTGACCTCTTCATCCTCTGGGAGTGAAACTTTTTGAGAGGCTGCCTGCGACTTCTGTGCTTCCTTTCTTATCTCAGCCACCTTCTTTCTGTAGTAGAGAAATTCTCTGCTATTCTTATCCTGCAAAAATGCAAATGCCGGGTTTTCCTTGTAGTCCTCTATAGCTACTTTTTTCTATCGCGGGGCCTTCTTCTGCCACAAAGTGGGCCAATTTCTCTATTACTTTCCGAGTCTCGGTTCCCTCTGAGGGTGAAACTTTGAGCTGGGATTACAGGCGCCCACCACGACGCCCGGCTAATTTTTTTTTTTTTTTTGTATTTTTAGTAGAGACGGGGTTTCACAGTGCTGGCCAGGTGGGTCTCGAACTCCCGACCTCAGGCGATCCTCCTGCCTTGGCCTCCCAAAGTGCTGGGATTACAGGCGTGAGCCACTGCTCCTGGCCTCTACAGTGCAGTTCTATGGGAAGAAATTCACTTTATTTTATAAAATGTTACTGTAAAAAAATAATATAAAAACGTATTTTCAAGGCAGTTAAAGAGATGTAGAAACCCATGCTTTGGATTATAAATTAATAAGAACAAATAAGAAATGGGAAGATGGCAGTGGGTAAGCCCAAAATTAAATACTAAAACCATACATTGATTATTTAGAAATGCCAAAAACATACATTGATTACTTAGTAACAGTGGGATACAAAGTTTCCTGAAACGAGGAATATAAAGAAGATCTTTATTTCATAGTGTTTTACAACGTCTCTAAAAATACTTATATTGTTCAATCACTAATCATCTACATGCTTCAGTGAACATACAAGTGTATGTGTCTTTTTGGTAGAAAGATTTTATTTTCTTTCAATATTTTCCCAATTTCTATACAAGTTGGACAGAAAAGTGCAAGTCATGGAAAGGGGAATAGAGTTTTTCAGTTAGCACATAAATCTGAGATTAATATTTAGGGCTCAATACTTTTTTTGAGATTGCATTTTTGCTTTTCTTCAGCATCATACATTTAGCAAAATTTTTAGATAATAAAATCATGATATAGCTGTTGAATTACCCTGTTTTCTTGAAAACTTTCTGAAAAATTAAGCTGATATAAAATTTCTAAATTATACTAATGTATCTATAGAAAACAACTTGAAAAGTTCCTATGTAACTTGCAGAGAAGTTTAACCTTTTTAATATAATAATACATTTATAATTTAATTTAGCTTTATTTCACCTGCAATTACACATGAGTTTGCTTTAAGATTTCTAAAAAAATCAGGGTATTTCATGTTAAGCATTATGGATATAAATATCTGAGATGAATTTAGCTAATAGTAAAATCTAAGATTTTTATCTCTTCTAGAAATTATCCTCTACCACTGTACATTTACATTAAATATGTCAATAAAATCTCTAGTTATATTCTTTGAAGGTTTACTAAAAATATTCAGAGTAAATGCAAAATATTTTATCATACTTTAATATTGATGTAAGTATTCCATTTTGGAAGGGATTTTTCTTTAGATAAATTTTGAGTATTTCACTGCATACTGTATTTGTCTCCCACTAGTTAGCAAGAGTTATGGAGTAAGCTCACTATGACATAATGTACCAATTACTTTTCTTGGTGTACCAGTATCTCCTTTCATCTTGTGTTTGGACAGTGCTGCCGTGTGTGTGTGTGTGTGTGTGTGTGTGTGTGTGTGTCTATGTAGGTCTGTGTATGTGCTTGCAGGAAAACAAATCCATATGGGAGACTAGTGAAGACAATAGTAGTTGACTTTTCTGTTGTGCTAATTCAATGAAAATTTCAAAACTAAGCATTTACAGAGAAAGCAATTCAAGATGTTGCAGGTAAAGTCTTTTTTCATTATGTATCATAAGAATAAAAATTAAATCCTGTGTTAAATCATATCCTCTCTATTAAGTTGACTGACCATGATATAATATATCCCAATAAGGTCAGAAATAAGCCTGACTAGGCTAACTTTCTTAAAAGAATACTGCTTATCTCATTTGCCCTCCATAGGTACAGCATTTTTACTTTTCCTTTTATTTTTATTTTATGTTTTTTTTTTCAACTCTTAGTTTAGATTCAGAGAGTACATGTGCAGGGTTGTTACCTGGGTATATTGTGTGATGCTGAAGTTTGATGTACAGTGGATCTCGCCCAGGTACTGAGCATAGTACACAATAGGTAGTTTTTCAATACCTGCTCCCCTCCTGCCCTACCCTCTCTAGTAGTCCCCAGTGTCTATTGTTTCCATCTTTATGTCCATGAGTATGCAGTGTTAGGTTCTCATTTATAATTAGGAAAATGCAGAATTAGAGGAAAACTGGTCTGGTTTTCTGTTGCTGCATTAATTTGCTTAGGATAATGGCCTCCAGGTGCATCCATGTTGCTACAGAAGAACATGATTTTATTCTTTCTTATGGCTGAGTAGTATTCCATGTTATAGATATATTACACTTACTTTATCCAATCCGGCATTGATGATCACCTATCAGTGATGATGTCTTTGCTATTGTGAATAGTGTTGCAGTAAACATATATGTGCACGTGTTTCTTTAGTAGAAAGATTTTATTTTCTTTTGGATATATCCAGTAATGGGATTGCTGGGTCAAATGGTAGTTCTAAGTTTTTTGAAAAATGTCCCCACTGTTTTTCACAGTGTCTGAACTAATTTACATTTCCACTAACAGTGTGTAAGTATTTCTTTTTCACTACAGCCTCACCATCATCTGTTTTTTTTTTTTTGACTTTTTAATAATAGCCATTTTGACTGGTGTAAGATGGTATCTCATTCAGGTTGTTTTTTTTTTCAAGTTATTTAATTTTTTTTTACGAATTTTTAAAATTTCAGTAGGCCTTTGGGGAACAGATAGTGTTTGGTTACATGAATAAGTTATTTAGTGGTGATTTCTGAGATTTTGGTAAACCCAACACCCGAGCAGTGTACGCTGTACCCAATGGGTAGTCTTTTCTCTCTAACCTCCCTCCCACCCTTTCCCCTGAGTCTCCAAATTGTGGTTTGGATTTGCATTTCTCTGATAATTAGTGATGTGTAGCATTTTAAAAATATATTTGTTGGCTGCTTGTATGTCTCCCTTTAAGAAGTGTCTCTTTATATCATTTGCCCATTTTTAAGTGGGTTATTTGTTTTTAGCTTGTTGATTTGTTTAAATTCCTTAAAGATTCTAGATATTAGATCTTTACCAGCTGCATAGTTTGCAAGTATTTTATCCCATCCTGTTGGCTGTCTGTTTACTCTGTTGATAGTTTATCTTGCTGTGCAGAAACTCCTTAGTTTAATTAGGACCCACTTGTCAAGTTTTGTTTTTGTTGCAGTTGCTTTTTAGGACTTACCCACAAATTCTTTCCTGAAGCCAATGTCCAGAATGGTGTTTCCTAGATTTTCTTCCAGGATTTCTAGAGTTTGAGGTCTTATATGTAAGTCTTTAATCCATCTTGAGTTAATTTTTATATGTAGTGAAAAGTATGGGTCCAGTTTCTACTTATTGCTAGCCAGCTATCTCAGCACCATTTATTGAATAAGGAGTCCTTTCCCAATTGCTTGTTTTTGTCAACTTTGTCAAAGATCAGATATTTGTAGGTGTGCAGCTTTATTTCTTTGCTCTGTATTCTGTTCCATTGGTCTATGTGTCTGTTTTTGGACCAAGACCAGGATGTTTTGGTTACTGTAGCTTTTTAGTATAGCTTGAAGTTGAGTAATTTGATGCCTCCAGGTTTGTTCTTTTTGCTTAGGATTGCCTTGGCTATTCCGGCTCTTTTTTAGTTCCAAATGAATTTTAGGATGGTTTTTCTATAATTCTTTGAAAAATTACATTGGCAATTTGATAGGTAGTACACTGAATTATAGATTGCTTTGGGCAGTATGATTATTTTAATTATATTGTTCCTTTCCGTCCATGAGCATTAAATGTTTTTCCATTTGTTTGTCCTTTATATGATTTCTTTCATCAGTATTTTGTAGTTCTCCTTGTAAGGTCTTTCACCTCCTTCGTTAGGTGTATTCCTAGATATATATTTTTTTCTATTGTAGCTATTGTAAATGGGATTTCATTCCTAATTGGACTCTCAGCTTGAACCTTATTGGGGTATAGCAATGCTACTGATTTTTGTACATGAATTTTGTATCCTGAAATTTTCCTGAAGTTGTTTATTAGTTCCAGGAGCCTTTTGCTCATGTCTTTAGGGTTTTTATAGATGTGGAATCATGTTGTCAGTGAAGAGAGAAAATCTCACTTCTTCTTTTCTTATTTGGATGCCTATTTCTTTCTCTTGCTTGATTGCCCTGGCTAGGACTTTCAGTACTATGTTGAAAGGAATAGTGAGAGTAGATATCCCTGTCTTGTTCCAGTTCTCCAGGGAAATGTTTCCAGCTTTTGCCCATTCAGCATAATGTGGGCTGTGGGTTTATCATAGATGTCTCCTATTATTTTGAGGTATGCTTCTTCGATGTCTAGTTTCCTGAGTGTTTTTATCATGAAGGAATATTTGATTTTATCAAAGCCTTTTTCCGTGTTTTTGAGAGATCATATAGTTTTGGTTTTCAATTCTGTTTATGTGGTGAATCACATTATTTATTTGTGTATGTTGAACCAACCTTGCATCCTAGCAAGAACATCTACTTGATTATGGTGAATTTACTTTTTATGTGCTGCTGCATTTGGTTCGCTTGTATTTTGTTGAGGGTTTTTGCATCTATGTTCATCAGGGATATTGGCCTGTAGTTTTCTTTTTTTGTGGTGTCTTTGCCAGGATTTGATATCAGAGTGACGTTGCTTTCATAGAATGAGTTACAGAGGATTCCTTCCTCCTTAATTTGTTGGAATAGTTTCAGTAAAATTGGTATCCATTCTTCTTTGAATGTCTGGTGGAACGCAGCTGTGAATCCATCTGGTCTGGAGCTTCTTTTGGTTGGAGGTTTTTTGTTTCTTATTCAATTTCAGAACTCAATATTGGTCTTTTCCGTGTTTCAATTACTTCCTGATTCAATCTTGGGAGATTGTGTGTTTCTGGGAATTTATCCATTTCCTCTAGATTTTCTAGTTTTGTATTCATAGAGATGTTTGTAACAGTCTCTGAGGATTTTATATTTCTGTGGAATCGATTGTAACGTAACCTTTTTCATTTCTGATTGGCACAGCATTTTTAAGCAAGGTTCTAGATGGGCCTAATCAGTTCAAAAATGTACTTTATATTATCTGAATGGATATTAAATTACCAGAAATTTGAGAAACTTTAAAATTGTTTAATTGATTATATATGTATTTTATATATATATATAATATATATCACATATTGGTAATAAATATAGAACAAACACCTATGGATCTACCACCTCAATTAAAAAGCAGAACAGGCCAGGCGCGGTGGCTCACACCTGTAATCCCAGCACTTTGGGAGGCCAAGGCAGGCGGATCATGAGGTCAAGAGATCGAGACCATCTTGGCCAACATGGTGAAACCCTGTCCCTATTAAAAACACAAAAATTATCTGGGCATGGTGGCACACACCGGTAATCCCAGCTACTTGGGAGTCTGAGGCAGGAGAATCACTTGAACCTGGGAGGTGGAGGTTGCAGTGAGCCAAGATCGTGCCACTGCACTCCAGCCTGGCAACAGAGCGAGACTCTGTCTCAAAAAAAGAAAAAAAAAAAAAGCAGAACATTGCAAATATTAACTCTATCTCTTTGCTCCTTACTTTCCTATCCTGTCCTCCTCCCTTCCATAATTAACCATCATCCTAAATGTTGAAATTACTCCTTTGTCTTTTAAACATATAATTTTTACCAGATAAAATAAAAAAGGTTAAAATGCTTTTTAGAATTGACAACTGCCAGTATTACACAGTTAAGTTAAACACTTAGATTTATACTCTGATTTTGCCATGTTATCCCTGTCTTTGGACATTTTCAGTCTGAATTAAAAAAAAAAAACTAAATAAAAAAGTGTGAGAGGCATTGTTATAGAATGTAACTTCTATGTAGAGTTTTTGTGAAGATTAAATAGAGAAAGCATATAAAATGCACAATGCAATGCCTGGTGCTTCCTAGATTTTAAAAAAATCATTAGTATTAGTATTAGTAGCAGTATTACTACTATTATTATCATTATATGTTACTGTGTATGTGTAATTGTTGATTATAATTTAGTAACGAGTGAATCAACATAGTTTAATTGAAAGCTTTGTCTTAGTTCCTAGATAGTAAAATTTTTTTTGGTTATACATATTAACATTTTAATGAATTTTTTCTTCAATGATTCCATGTATGCCTTGTGTTTTATTATTGGAACACTGAGCATGTGGGGGTTGTTTATATCCTACTGATCAAGATCATCACCAAAGTCTGATTGCAAAAATTCAAGACATTGCAACCTTAGGAATAAATGGGTTAAGAAGATAATTTGAAGCATATAATTCTATATCAACATTTGTCAATACCCTCATGATACTTGGGCTGTCACAATAAGCAGAATCACTGAATGACTGTGACAGAACTGAATCTAATCCTTCTCAATCACACTACATCCTACTCCAGTAGCTACATGAAGTGAAACATGCTTGTGCTGATCATCTTATGACCTTCCCAAAATTTTAATAATTTACAAGCTATTCAAACCTCCTGGTTACCACTTTCTTTTTGTGAGGAAATTGGAATGAAGTACCTTATTATCCTAAAATTGTTTCCATAGATAATATTTATAGTTTATAAATTAAAGATATTTCAGAATATTTGTACACATCGCATACACATTTACAAACAAAGCATAGTTTTCAATTACAAAATTAATAGATATCTAATAATTCTAAAAGAGACTTTATAGATTCCCTTGGCATTTTATGTCCCTGTAGTGTGTTACTACATATGCTATGTGGAAGGAAAAATTATATTTTGACAGTTTGCTTTTCTCAGGTTGTTGCTTAGCAGTGCAGATGCTATCATTTCTTTCATTGTTTTTATCACATGCATAATTTTCAAAGACACAGTGCTTGTAATGGCTTTAAGAAATTATTACCTTCCAGAATTTTACTATACTATTAGTATGTTCCTCAACAGCTACTTATCATACATTCTTGCTAAAATAGGCAATATTATTTTTCTCCACCCCTTTGCTTTAGTTTGATAAGAAAATATGAGGGAACTAATAACTACTTTATAAATAAAATTTGTTTTCAGATTAATACAGAAGCAGAAACAAACACAAATAAACATATTAAAGATGATGTCCTAATGATATCATAATGAGGCTCTAAATAATACTAGTTGTGTTGTATATTATAAAAGTATTGTGGGAAAAAAAATTCAGCAGGGCAAGTTATCTGAATTTAAAAGCAATGGAAGAACTTCCAAATAAGAATGTCAGTAAATTCTCAGCATAAAATACTACAACTTTGAGGAAACTGCAATTAAAAGACAAATACTATGAATCAAATTATTAAAACAAATTAGACTGTTTCTATCATTAAAGTTTAAATGCCTCAGACAAATAGATAAGAAAATACTGATATAATAATAGATAAATACACTATGAACTGACAATTCACAATACAGGAAAGAGAACAATTATGATAACATTAGATAACATAAATATTAGATAACATAAATATTCAAAACAGCTGAATATAAAAGAGTTGATAAAGTTTTAACAAAGTTTTAAAATTTCGAACTGACTAATACAACTCTGTAGGGAAGATATGAACTCTGGAGTTCAAAATATCTGTGTACACTTTTGTAGCCCCATCATAGTAGTTCTTTAAAAATCTAGGCTCTGACATAACAAAATCCATATTTCTACTGTGTGCACCCCTTGCTCTTTTATGATCCTTTGATGCCCTGCTTTTCAGTGGAGTCCTTAAGAAGATCTTTCTCTTACAGTGCAACCTTAACCATTTCTGCTACTAATTAACCTTTCTTCCCCTAAACTGGTTACACATTCCATGTGCATGTTTGTCTTTCTTTCTTCTATTTGTGCTGTCTGTGAAATTTAGGAGAGGAACAAAGATTCTCTCAGCAAAAGGGCACCAAATCTTTTTATTGCTAAATCCTTGGTTCATGGATTCTCAATGGTCAGCCTGAGGCCATAATTGTGTTCATATGTCACCATAGACTAATCTCAGGAGCCTGCCCTCTTTCAATTCCTTATCCCCGTACAGAATCCTAAATATCATTTCTGGTCTCGTTACCATTTAAACTTTCAACTAAACAACTTCAAGAGACACTTCTCAGGGGAGAATTGCGGGGGAAAATGGTAGTTGAAAACTAGCTTCCGCTGTGTATATATTCAGATAATCAGTAACAAAACTGTGGAGATTTTCCCATCCCTCCGTAACACATTCCTGTAAAAGGAGAAAGGTGAGATGTAGAACTTTCAGAAACGCAGAAGCAAGTCTCCTCTATATAAACATTATAAGGTGCAGTTATTATTTTTCAATCAGAACACCTTCAGTGTGACCCTTGATCATTTAGTACCTGCCAAGAAAAGCTTAACCATCTACAGAAAAATATCATTTACCCTTTATCTAAAAACTACTGCTATATTCTCGTTAATTAATTTATTTTTATTTTTTATTTATTTATTTTTTTGAGACGGAATTTCACTCTGTCACCCAGGCTGGTGCAATCTTGGCTCACTGCAACCTCTGCCTCCTGGGTTCAAGTGATTCTCCTACCTCAGCCTCCTGAGTATCTGGGATTACAGGTGTGTGCCACCACTCCTGGCTAATTTTTGTATTTTTAGTAGAGACGGGGTTCTCACCATGTTGACCAAGCTGGTCTTGAACTCCTGACCTCAAATGATCCACCCACCTCAGCCAACCAAAGTGTTAGGATTACAGGCGTGAGCCACCAGGCCAGGCCCTCATTAATTTGTTTTAAATAAGAAATCACAGTATTTAAATATAGGCAGTTCCTAATTTTTTTTTTTGTATTTCTTTTCTTTCTTTTTATTTTTTTGAGATGGAGTCTTGCTCTGTCACCCAGGATGGAGTGCTGTGCTGCGATCTTGGCTCACTGCAACCTCTGCCTCCTGGTTCCAGTGATTCTCCTGCCTCAGCTTCCCGAGTAGCTGGGATTACAGGCACATGCCACCACGTCCCTTTAATTTTTTAAAATTTCAGTAGAGACGGGATTTCACCATGTTGGCCAGGCTGGTCTCAAACTCTGGACTCCAGATGATCCGCCCAGCACTACCAAAATGCTGGGATTACAGGCATAAGCCACCCAGCTTTAAATGTTAATTCTATCAGTGAAGTGATACAGGTTGAATTTTCTTTTAAAAATAATTTGGGTAAAAGATAAGAGATCAACTGTATACGATTTCATGGGAATTTAGGTCAATTTAACTATGTCCCAAGAACTACATGTGTAGCACTTGCTGGGACTAATGATCAACTTGACTTGACCAGGCAAATTCAACATTAGCAACAGGTGAGCAACTTTATTAGAAGCAATTTCTATGTAAAATAAATCCTGGAAGTCATTGACGTTATTTTAATACTACAACAAAGAGCAGAACAACTGATAGAAGAATTAGGCTCTACAAGACTTAAGAGATGGAAGACTGTTCGCCATTCATTAAGAGAAAGGGTGGGGCCGCAGGTCTCAGAAGCCCTAAGGTTAGCCTTCAGCATGGATTCTTGTCAGTCATGAATCATTCTCTGACACGAGATCTTGAAGGTGGAATCCAAGTTCCTTAGAGGCAAAGCAGTGTGGCCTTCTACCTACAGAGTTCATACAAGTGTTTTGATTAATATGGAATAATTTGTCACCAGAAGCTGAGTTACTAAAAGATAATTGGGGGAAATTTCAGCTCACATTGTAGGAGAGATTATGCTTGTCTTAATTAATGGTTTTGACCTGAGTCAAGTTGGGAGGTGTTTTAATCAGAGAACTGGAGGCTGGAATTTTTTAAATGACACCAAAAAATTCAACAAAATAAGCTGTATTTTTTTTCCTAAAAGAAGATTCATGATAGCTCACCAAAAATATACTTTTTAGAGAAGTTTTGTTGTTATTTTCCTATATGTGAGGCAAGTCTCTCTGCTGAGAGGTTGACTCCACTTCACTCCTATTCCTGCCACCTCTGAACTCTGAATTACAATCCTAGACCTGGCTTTGATCCTCTGGAGTGTCACCGAGGAAGGACATCAGAAACTGGTGGAGTAAACCAACTTAAAGATTTTTCCTTGTCTAGGTTTCCTTCAGTTTTATACTGAGTCTCTGTTTTATAGAACTTTCAGATACAGAATGCTGCTATTCAAAATGCCCTCAGGCTAGGCAGTTCTTGATTGATCCTAAAATATGATACGAATGTGGCTCAAATAGTTAGAAAGTCAGGATGGAGATGACCATAAAGTTGAATAATTCAAGAAAATAGGAGAATCAGAGATTGGTGTCTAGAGTCTTGGAGGTTGCCTCAACTAGAGAGAGGACCATGTAAGAGAAGGACTGAGGAGTTGATTTTAGGTGTTCCAGCCAACAGATCAAGTAAGAAATCAAATAAGTATCATCTTATCAGATATAACCATTCTCTTTTAAAGCTAAGAATGAGGGGCATCTCTTTGGTTATAGCTTAATACTTGCCGTGGCAAAATGTGCATACTTACAAGAGAAATGCAACTCTGTGTATATGCATGCGTACATGTGTTTACAAACACAACAATAAGAAATTCTTTAAAACAAAACTAAAAATAGTGAAAAAAATCACAGTTTTCTTTCAGTATTCATGAATTTTGTGTTTCCAGGTCAACTGTTTATAGTAGGATAATACATTCAATAGGATGTATAGAGGATAAAAATGAGATGTAGCTGATTCAAAAACATCTAGGTTCTAATATCATTGAATTAAGAAATTAAGAACAATAACTCAAGTTTAAGACATCAAGTCAAATTTTCTTCCCAGTGCTTCTGTCAATAAAATGTTTATTTTCTTAGAATATGGGTTGTATACCACATTTTACTAAATTGTTTACCCTATATTGTGCACTTAGGCTACAGTTTACCTAGATGCAACTATTCACACATTTTTCTGTCTTTAATACATTATTTCTTAACTCTCCACTAAGAATAGTTATCTTACATGGTGGGTAAATTAGTCCTGTCATATTAAGAGTTTGATATTTTATTTTATAAATTTATGCTTTATTACAATATTTTGACAACTTAGAATGACTACCAAAAATTTAATTCTTAGGGAATTTAATATGTGTTGTCTTCTCAGGGTTGAATATTACTTTTGTCATGATATATTTTATTTTCAAAACACTGGTAAATTATATTTGTGAATATTTTATTTAGAAATTTATTTCACTAGAATTTTAAAATTTGGTTGTGTTATGTGGTTATAGAGCCAATAATGAAAAGTTAAAAAGTTTCACAACTTTTCTTGTGTTCTCAAATAGTGTAAATAATGGAAACTACTTTCTGAAGGCATTTCAGAACTCAGAATAAAATAACCTCAGTGTATTCTAATTTAGGACAAAATATATTTACTATTTTCATAATTTCCTATTGTTTTTTCCTTCAAACTTTTATTACTTATTCAGCCAACTTCATTAAATAAAATTTTCTTTGTAAATTACCTGTTTTACTTCGATTTTCAGATGTAATGGTTCAGTGTTGTATACATCATTCCACATATGCAAATAATTTTTATTTTGTGAAATGATAAAAATATATTAAACTCTATAGATCTTTCATCATATGCCTGGGTACATACTCACCATCCCATATCAGAAATTATTAATATTTTTATTGTATTCTTCAAATCTTATGTTTGATCCCAAGTCCCACTTTTTTCAAAGATAATTATTATTTAATTTATTACACAACTGTGTGTATATATATGTGTATATATAAATCATATATGTACATATATAATTTATATTATATATATATTATATATATGTATATATATTGCATTTCTCTTGTAAGTTTGCACATTTTGCCACGGCAAGTATTAAGCTATAACCAAGGAGATGCTCCTCGTTCTTAGCCTTAAAAGAGAATGGTTATATCTGATAAGATGATACTTATTCGATTTAGTATCAAATAAGTATTTGTGAATATTTTATTTAGAAATTTATTTCACTAGAATTTTAAAATTTGGTTGTGTTATGTGGTTATAGAGCCAATAATGAAAAGTTTTATATATATATATACACACACACACACACACACAAAAAGTATATATATATATATATACACACACACACAAATACATATATGTGTGTTTGTGTGTATGTGTGTGTGTGTGTGTGTATATATATATATATACACATATATATGTGTATATATATATATATGTATATATATATACATATATATATGTATATATACTTTTGCCTGGGATTAGACACATTTTTCCCTATTCCTCTGGCTATGTACAATTAAAAACTGAGACATATATAAAACGTATTCTGAAAGGTGGAGAGAGAGAATCAGGCAGTTTAGGGGCCTCAGTACCGGAGAAATGATGTAGTGATGAGTTTCCTGGATTTTCTTTTTGATTCACATATTCCAAACTGCGAGCTGGCTAAGATAGTAACCTGGTAATGCCAACAGAAACATATTTTTAAAAAGTCCTAACAGATGCCTGCTGTTCCTAACTGAAAGAACAGAAAAATGGCAATCTAGCAAGACAGAAACTTTTATACAATAAACTCTTTATTGAAGAAAAACACCTTAAGAAAGACCATGGTACCACCCTCATCCAGCCAGCAAATGCAGAGTTCAGAGCCTAGATTTTCATTGTCTCTAGGTTGTAGTGAAGTTTATAAACCTCCCTTCTCTACCCTACAGGGCTGGTGTCAGAGAAGGCTGAATTGGGTACCAAGACATTCCTTCTCTCCAGGTGGTAACAAGGACCCTCACATGGTATTAATGAAGACCAAATGGTAAGCCTCCATTTTCACTTCTACCTTGCAGTAATGAACTGTTACTCTTTCTTTTCCTCACTGGGAAGGTATTAAAAGATGTCTCTCAGAGAGTCAATGCTTTCACCTTCTCAGTAGCAATAAGGCTTCCCACCCCCAGCTATCTTAGTGTAAGTACAGGTCATGTGAGATACAGAAACAAGGCACCCCTTCTCCTACTAGATAGGGAGATATTAGTAGAAATCTAGCGGTGAGCCAGAACTCCTAATATCTCACAATAATTAGTACCTTCCCTCCTTGAGTATAGATGTCGGCCAAGTGTAGAACCGAATTTCTGTCCCCTTCTGGCAGTAACAAGGGGGTGCCCCACTCTTCCCCTGCCAGAGTGATGTCAGAGAAAGAGAGCTAAAACAGGCTTAAGTAAGATGCAGCATTTTATAATACCCAAAATATCTAGGTATTCATATAAAATTATACATCATACCAAGAACCAAAAAGATCTCAAACTGAATTAAAAAGATAATCAATACATGTTGACACTGAGATAACAGAGATGTTAGAATTATCTGGCAAAGATTTTAAAGCAGCCATAATAAAAATACTTAAATAAGCCACAAAAAATAGCTTGAAACATAAAAATAGGAATCTATGGCAAGGAAGTAGAAAGTCTCAGTAAAGAAAGTAAAGATATAAAGAAGAACTAAGTAAAAATTATAGAACTGAGAAATAAAATAATTGAAATTAGTAACTCAATGGATAATTTCAACAGCATAATGGATGAAACAAAGGAGACAAAGACCTTGAAGATGCAACAACAAAAATTACTTAATGAGAATAGAAAGAAAATAGACTGAATAAAAAGTGGACAGAACTGGGCAGGAACAGTGGGATTATAATGAAAAAAAAAAACCATAACATTCATGTTATTAGAGTCCAAGAAGGAAACAAAAAAGGTGAGGCTGTAATAGTACTTAAAAAATAATGGCTAAAAATGTCTCTAGGCTGGCAAAAACAGAAACACATTAGTCTAAAGAAGCTAAGTGTGATAGTGTCAGCTGTCAACCTGACTGGATTAAGAAATACTTAGAGAGCTGGAAAAACCTTATTTCTGGGTAGGTCTGAGAGGGTATTTCCAGAAGAGGTTGGCATGTGAGTTGGTGGACTGGCTAGGAAAGATCTGCCCTCAGTGTGGATGAGCACTATCCTATTATCTGAGGGTCCTGATAGAATAGAAAGGCCAAGGAAAGGCAAATTCTTTCTCTTTCTATTCTACAGCTGGAATACCCTTCTTCTGCTAACCTGGTACATCCAGGCTGTCCAGCCTTTGGATTCCAAAACTTACACCAGTAGCCCCTCGGGTTCTTGGGCTTTTGCCTTCGAGAGTTACATGATTAGTTTCCTTGGTTCTGAGGCTTTCAGACTTGGACTGAACCATACGTAATACCAGCATTTCAGAGTCTTCAGCTTGCAGATGACTGTTCACGGGACTCCTTGGCCTCCATAATCAATTAAGCCAATTCCCTTAATAATCCCCTCTTATCTATCTATCATCTATCTCATTGGTTATGATTCTCTAGAGAACACTGACTAATACATTGAGCAAACTCTCAACAGGATAAAACAAAAAATATTACACCAACAGACATGACAGTTAAACTTCTGAAAACTAAAGACAAAGAAAACACATTGAAAGCTGTAAATGAGAAATGACACATTACCAATAAGGCAAAAATAATTCTAATAGGCAACAGATTTCTCATCAGAAACCATAAAGGCCAGAAAGAAGAGAACTACCAACCAAGATTCTTTATCTAATGAAAATATCCTTCAGGAATAAAGAGGAAATCAATATATTATCCAATGAAAGAAATTAACATTAACTGGAACTTTATAAAGGAGAATATTCAAACCTCCAATAAGTATATGGAACAATATTTAACATTATCTACCATTGGAGAAACAAATTGATTCCTCCATGATATACCACTTTTTCACCTATGGAATAGCTAAAATTAAATAGATTTACAGTATTAATAATTGGCAAGGATGTAGAGGAACCGGAACTTGTATTCACTTTTGGTGATTGTATAAATTGGTTAAAAGACTTTGGAAAACTGCTTGTATCTACTAAAGCTAAACATTTGCCTACATCCTGACTCAGAAAATCCATTGCTACTACGTACCTGAAAGACATGAGTGCATAGATTCTCAAAACTCATATCCGAAATGATATTTACGACAGGTTTATTCATATTTCCAAACTGGAAACAACCCATAAATCTACCTATAAGAAAATCGATGAGTGGTAATACACTCAAACAATGAAATACTACCAGCCTATAAAAAAAAACTACTTACATATAAAAAATAGATAATACCCACCTATAAAAAATAAATGCTACCCACCTATTCAAAATCAATACTAATCTATAAAATAATAAAATCTTAATATGCAGAATAATGTAGATTAATTTTATCAACATTATGTTGAGCAAAAGAAGCAGGACACAAAAGAGGATATATTATATAAATCCATTTATGTGAATTTCAAGAATGGACTAAATGATGGTTAAGAAAGCCAGAATAATTAGAAAACTGAGGGTGAGAAATGAACAGAAAAATGAATGAGGGAATCTTCTGCAGTCTTGAAAAATATTGTATATCTGATTTTGGGTTGTACATAAACTATCTTCAAGCTCTACACTTTTGTGTGTGTGTGGACAGGTGGACTACAACTGGCTGAAGTGTGTTTTCTAACACTAAATTATTTGAGATCCTCTAGAAAAAAATCCAAAAAACTAGCTCTGCATGGTGGTGTGTGCCAGTAGTCCCAGTTACTGGGGAAGCTGAAGTGGGAGGGTTGCTTGAACCTGGGTTGAGGCTACAGAAAGCCAAGACTGCACCACTGCACTCCAGTCTGGGTGACAGAGCCAGACCCTGTTTCAAAAAAAAAAAAAAAAATTACAGTTTGAGGTTGAGTTTTTCAATTCCGAAGTCCATGCAATCTCCGTTATGCCATATTGCTCTCCTAAAATAAATAATACCATCTATATCTAATTCTAAAGTTCAGTTACCCTGAAACATGGAAGAGAATGTGTCCTGAATAATAGTACTGATGACATCATATTAATATAGGAACAATTTAACATAATTCATCAATAATTCTGCATAAAATATCACCTCAAGCGAAGATTTATTTATGTTTAAAATTGGAATTTCCCTATTTATATTAAAGGACAAATAAAAGAGTAGGACTTTGGTTACACTCATGGTGTGTGGGTTCAATAGTAGTACTGACAAACTATTTGGAAGGTAGGAGTTTTCTTTTTCTACAAAGATTTAAATTATTTGGATATACTGCAAGACTGCTTTTTAAGTGTAAACATATTTAAAAAGGTAAATGGCACATAAAGAGAAATAAGACATTAATATAATATATAATATTAAAATAATATGTAGTTGGATATAATATTCCCTATGGATCCCTTCAAATTAAGGTATTCTCACTAAATCTCTCCCAACCTATCACTTATCTGGCTTATCTAATTCTCTCTCAGGCTTTCAGTTATCTCTGATGTGCTGAAAATTACCAGTTTTGTAGCTTTAGGCCAGACCTCCCTCCACCTCTCCCATCCCCTTTGCTATCTAAACATTTAGTGGATACTTCCACAACAAAATGCACTATAATAAGCTCATCATCCCATCCTCGCAGTCTATTTATGTATTCTCAAAATCATATTGCAGTATCACAGTTAGCCCAGTCACCCAGATAAGAACATTGTGTCATACTTCACCACTTTCAGTCTCTTTATATCTTTGATTATATGCATATAATATCCTATGCATAACATGCTGTTGCTTTTTGTCCCTCTTATTATTCCTATTTTAACCTTTTCTTTAGAAATAGCTCAAATGACTCTAATTAATACTCTATCTTTAATTCTGTGCATATGTCTATTTCTAATTGTCTAATTATATTATAATCTTGTATATAATATTGCTATATTTTCTATTGGAAGGTAACTGCATCTAGTCCCTTGACATTAAGACTATCCCACACACGCAGCCTTCTCATATGAAGGCAATGATATAAACAGACATTTACTCCTATATATTATACACCAATATTTATGGACTCTTTTCTGAAAACAGACTGAATATCTGAATTAAAAGAGAAGAATATATATCTACAAAAGTTAAGGCTTTTATTTGTTTAGATCATGCTAGGTTGCTTTTCTTTTTCCTGTAAAAGGAACTGAAGGAAATTCTTCCCTTTTTATTCCAAATGAGATCTGACATTTATGGCTGGAGGTCACACTAGGTCCAAAATTTCTGCTCTGAAGAAATCATAAGGGTGTCAAAACACTTTCTCACACTGTTGGTAGAGTTAAAGGGTAGAATTCAGATACTCGGCTTTAACGGTGGAAAATCCGTCTGTCTGCCTCATTCTGTAAGTGAGCCATGCTTCCTTCTCTTGGTTACAAAACCAGTAGGATACTTGAAGAAGGTGAGAGCAATGGGTTGTTATAGCTGTACCCTCCTTGGCAGTATATTTGGGAGAGAAAAAGGAAATGGTGTCTTGTAATTTTTTAAAGAATTTCAATCCAAGGGATTAAAGCACTATCTAATCAACAGGGTGGCAGGAACTCCAGTTTGACTGACATGATCTCACAGATAGTTGTTTTATTTTTAAATTTTTAAATGAATGAATATATGCATGAGAAATGCAAATATAAAATGTTTGTCTTTTGAATATATTTAGCTCTTTTAATTTTCATTTTGGAAGGGAACAATCAACACTTGACTATTTAACCCAAACCACGTTTTCCCAAAGTGTGATTTGCAGAACCCTGATTTAAGCAGCTGTTTGATAGGAATTAAGTGGTAGAAAGACTTCAACAATCAAACACATTTGGAATCACATAGCTAAGCAAGGTTAAATAAGTTTCTTCTCTTCATGAGTTAGAGCATTAGATGTGCAAACATACCTTTGAATCTGTTGGCATATGCAGATTTTCCACAGTTTTTGAATATGGCACTTTTTAATGGATTGTCTCACGATAAAAATATTTTATGGATTTCATGTTACATACAGCATGCTTTGCAAAGTACTACTGTAGACTAACCGTATATATTTTTCTATGTTTTCCTAACATTTCTGCCTTTTTATAAAACTATTTTCCTTTCATCCTCTGTTCCTGTTTGCTTAGTTTTCTGACCTTACAAAGCCCCCACTGAGCATGGCTTAGCAGGAGGTAGAAGCTATTTATTGTGGTGACAAGCTAAGTAACCTAAGAGGGTAAGTGCATAAGAAGAGATAAAAGGATGTTATTCTTAAAAAAAAAAAAAAAATCACTGTTTTTTTCCTGGTCTACTAGATACTTTGTAGACTCATTTCACTATAATACAAATTACTACATAGAATGTCAACCTAAAGTACATCTTGCCTCCAAATCCCTTCTGGGTAGCCATATAAGCTATTCAGCGATTTCATTAGCCTCTGAATTGTCATAATCCACATACTATTAATAGCATTTAGGTACTTGGGTTTAAGTAAAATATAAAATCTAAAAAAAAGAAAGACAAAGGAGGTTAAAAGTGCTATGAAACTTCACTATAGTTAATAGTACATGGGTTCTTTTTCATCAATACCATCCTAACCCTCCTATTGAGTGATTATTATGTTGGATTATTAATTCAATGATTATGGCTTCCTTTTATACTAAAAAGTTCAGGTGTAAATTATGATGGATATAATTCTGAAATTATTTGTTGAAATTCAGCCTGATATTCCTTGTGACTCATTTATTATAGAATTAATAGGTGATTTTCCAAGATTCAGTATTTATGATAAACAAGATTGTTCTGGAATGAAACAACTTCCCGTAAAAGTAAATTACATACACTAAAGCACAGAACCCCACAATGACTTTTTTCTCCCTTTCTATGACTGTAAATCAGATGAAATCATACTATGCTATACTTTATATGCATCTTTGAAGAACTAGTAGAATCCTGAATCCTTTAACAGTTTTTGCCCTAGCCAAAGTTCACATAGTAGATATACAGATGGTATAGTGCAGGCATTTAGCACAAAGCTTTGACCTCAAACTTCCATGTAGAACATACAGTTGTGACTTGGTTAGAATGACCTTTGAGTCAGGGTTATTCCTCTAATGCTTGTGGTCCAAAGCTTTGACTACAACGATAATGAAAATCGCTCCATGCTCTGTTTTTCTGCCTATCTCTATATGTATCTTCTAACTTTTCCCTTTGCTTCCCTCAAAAATTTTTAGCATTTTTAAATTTAGTAATGTTATTCCTTTACTTATTGATTATTGTTGTCAGGTAATTGCATCATTTTCTTCCTGTAAGGATATATTACATTTTTTAAAAAAATCCAGTAATATAAATCTTGATAACTTTTTGAAGAATTGTAACTTTTTTCTTTTTTAATGCATTTTTTTTTCCAAATAAAGATTCCTTTTTGATAGATCTCGAATGAGATCTCTAGTATACTTCATATAGTAGAAAAATTATCCATCATCATTCTTTCACAGATCAAATAATTTAAATCTGGAAAAATAAAATGTTTCCCATTGATATATACCTTCTTAATGGTGAAAACAAATTATATTAAAACCAATTTGCATGTTTGCCATGAAGTTGAGTGGAGACATATTGAAGAGAAATGTATGTCCCTTGTTCTCTAGGGAGGTGCCACCAAAAAAATGACCATTTGTTCTGGCTTTGTTTACAGTTTGAATTTCTGCTTGACTTCTTCAATTGTGAAATCTGGATCTATGCAGGTACATTAGAATATTTTCATACTTTAGTTTCCAAGTAGCTTTCTGCTTAGGGCCAATCCGATATCAACTATTCAGCAGCTGTGAATTAAGCCGGCCTTAGGGTTGGAATCAGATTTCTTTAGTACCCTCATGCATACCATAAGGTTGTTTAGCAAACTGAGACATTTCTTGGTCCCTAGGAAATGAGAGAATATTTCTGTCAGTAACCTGATTTTGGAAATGTGAGTGAGCTCTGGATAAAATTTCATTTTGAGTCTTTGCTCTGCTACTTGTAAGCTATCAGTTTACACAGGCTTCCAGAGTTACAGAAGAGTTCTTTGTTGAAAAAAAATATATTTTTTTAAACTCTATGCTCAATTGTCAGTCAATGTATCACAAGATTGAGCAGATTAAAAGAAAAAGTCTCTAGATCCATAGAAGGCATGTAACTGAAATGCAATTAAATGCTTGATGATGCACATTAGAAGTGCACAGAAAGAACTAAGAGATTAAAGTGCAAAGTTTCTTGAAATTAAATGGTCTATACGAATAAAATCATTGTATAACAATAATTTAAATGACCCTTTTCATTAACAATTCTAACAAATACTCCTCTGTTCCTTCTTTAGGCTAGCCCTGTTTACTGCTGCTTACTCTAGGAAATAGAAATTGTCAGTGAACTTGGAACCATTGTTTACCTGTAAAGTTTGTGTTGGTTTTCAAATATCAGTCCTGAAATAATAGTCTCTTTTCCTCCATTCATGTTTCTCAGAAAGACTTTATTCATTACCACATAGTTCACATGAACCCTACAGGCTTGATAATTTCTTATCTTTCTAATGTCCAGATAGCAATACACAAGATGTACTCATCATCTTAGAGACAAACATGGTGGAATAGAGAAAGGAAAAAAAATATATGTAGTAAAAACTGTCTTTTATATGTCAAAATCACTTCTTAAAAAACATGCTGGGTGAGGTGACTGGCACTTGTAATCCCAGCTGCCCGGGAGGCTGAGGCGGGAGGTTTGCTTGAGGCCAGGAGTTCAAGGCTGTAGTGAGCTATAATTGTGTCACTGAGCTATTTTCTTAAAAAACAAAAAAAGAAATATTATTATATGATAGGCAGAAAGCTGAATCATGAAATACATATTTTTATAGTTCTTTATAATTTTCAATTTGACTTTTTAACTTTATATTTGAGTGTCACGAGAACCAAAGCAGTACACAATACACAAACATTAATTTTCCCATTTTACATGTAATGTTAGCAAGTATTTGCAAAGTGTTTAGTATATTCCTGTTTAGTGAATGTTGAGAATTTGCCTGTTCCAAATGTGTTATATTGATGAGCTTATGTAGGTTTTACAAAACTCAAAAAAAGAAGCACTATTATTTTCCCCATTTATATGTAATGAAGGAATCATGTCATAGAAAGTAAGTAACTTTTCAACATCCCACAGTTTAAGAGTGGTAGAGCCTGAATACAACCCAGGCAATCTGGCCTCATAGAATTTCATCATAACGTTTATTTATTGCCTCTCACATCACAAATAAGGTATAGGGCATCATGAAATTGTGATTTTTTTACATCTTATATAAGCATTATTATAATGAGTCTGTTCTAGAGTTCTTGTCTTCTGATTTTAATTTATGAGAGATTAAAAAAAACCTAGTGCTAGTGAGCATATTGAAATTTCTGAATAAAACTTAGGTCAGTGTTTTTCTCAAGTCCAGTGAAATGATTTAATTTCTAGATGGGTATCATTCTTTTGATCAATAAAATGCCAATCAGGAAACCGTGACCAAATGGTAGCAAGTTTTTTTCAATGGTAAATTATGAATTTGTGAATACATGATACATATGAGCGAAGCTACAGTTGCTACATTCTAGTTAAGTGGAATGAATAGAATCATTATCCAACTAAGATTTATGAGCTCATAACAGGAACTTGTGTAGGTGATTGATATATGTCAGTGAACAAAGCAAAGATCACTATCTTTTATGGTCTACAGACAAGCAAATGAAGGGAAACAAAAAAGAAGCAAAGGAAAAGAAACCCATACTATAGACATAAATTGTAAGGCATTAGGAATTACAGAGAAAAATAAAATATGAAGCATGGTAAGAGGAAATCAGAAATATGAAGGGGCTTATGATGGTGGAATAACTATAGTTTTTTACAGGTGTACAGATTAGGTCTGACATTTGGGCAAAAATTGTAAAGAGGTAAGAAAGGTAGTCATCCAATTTTCTGAGAAAACAGCATTCCAGGAAATGGAATAACTGCTATAAAGGATAAAATGGGGAATGACTGGTATAGTCAAGACATAGTAAAGTGGTCAAGAGAATAGGTTATGTCATTTACATACAATTAAAATGTTAAAAGTATTAAATATTTAAAGATGGTGACAATAAAGAATCAAACAAATTTGGGGTCCTCTTGAGCACTGGACATAAGTTGCATGCCCGTGAAGCTGGCCTTGGTGGTAGACTAAACAATCTTGGTGACAATCTTACATCTTGGGGATGTAAGATTAGAGATGAAGAGGGGCCAGATCTTGTAATACAATATGAGCCATAGAGAGGACTTCTACTTTGACTCTGAGTGAAATGGGGAACTACTGAATGGTTTTGAACAAAAGAGTGACATGTTTTTGCTTATAGTTTTAAAGAGGCCTCTTCTGCTGCTCTTTTAAGACTAAAATGTAGATTGGCAAGGGTAGAAGCAGGGAAAAGTTGCATTAATAATTAATAATTGAGTTGGATGAAAATACTTTTAAGAAATCTGATGTCTTTGCAGTAAATCTAGTAGCTCTACCTTATGTGTAAATATGAATGTATATATGGTATTATAAACATATATTAAGAAGACCAGTTCAAATTAAGAGGACTATGTGGCTTCATGTAAATTGATTATAAGAAATAAAAATAAAACTTGTTCCCAAAATGAGGGTTATATACAGTGATGATTGGCATTATATTCAATGTAAATTTCCAGTTATGGAAATTTCATGTATTATTATATTTCAGTTCTGTTGATAATCAGAGTATACACTTAAAAACATCTAATGAATGAAGGCATATGAATCGTCATTGAAAGTAACCACAAATCTGAGATAAATATGTGTGAAAATATTTTTGGAGATAACATCATTTGAAGGAGGTTGCACATTTGACTCTTAATGGTATTTCTGAGTGGTAACATTTGTCTTGGTCCTTAGTTAATGCATCCTGATAATATATTCCTAATAACAATTTTATTATGCTAGCTTCAGAGTTAAACTGAACAGTTTTTTGTATACATACACATTCTAGGCTTTATAAGTTAAGTTAGATTTACAGAGAGTCAAACATTAATGTTGACAGAAAGTCAAACATTGATTAACATTCACAATATAGAGGAATCCTCCTTCAAGTATTTTTGTCAGCTTTTATAAGGAATATTGAAATTCTGTATCATTATAAAGTGAGAAAAACAGCCAAAGTTAATTAGTATAACCTATACTATAAATAAAATTTCAAGAGTTTATTGTTTTCAAAAACAAAAAGATTTCTAGAGACAAATAATTCATGATCTCTAAAAATTTATTGTAAAAAATAAGCTAGGGTGGGATTCTGGATAGATGGATGCATTGTCAGGGTAGCTTGGTGAATCTCCCCCAATCTCTTAAATTAAAAAAAGATAGATAAATTAATATAGCAAAACCAAATGTCCCATTGAAATATCTACATAGAATCACATGAAAAAATGGTTTCATAAACTCTGAAATATGTGTGTGTAGTCAAACCTACAAAACCCATGTGGAATAAGAAACTGCAAGAGGAGAATCAGAAGAAAAGTAAATAGGTTCTTGCAGCCCTGGAATCTGATGAACCCTCAAGTCACCCAAGATAATCTTCCCAGATTAAACTGAGAAGAGTATCCAAAACTGAGAGGGGGATTTTAGGCCTAAACAAATGGGTGATTTTAAGGAGACTGTTTGAAGGACAGTCTGAGCCCTTTGAAATCTAGAACCTAAAAAGCCGAAGTTCACATCCAGGATAAGACCCTCCGTTACAAAGAAAGTGTTGGAAATATGATGGAAATGAGCAGGACAGAGACACAGGGGAAAAGAGAAGAGTTTAGGGGAATGATATCTCAGAAAGCATGTGAACATGTTTGATAATTTTATAAAAATAACAGAAGAAAAAAGCTCTAGAATGGTGGAGTTAGAAAAACTATGCTGGCTCATTTTTACATTTTGAAAAATACAAAAACATTAATCTCACTTAAAAATGAGTATCTGAAATGTGTTATATATAAATAAGGGAATACTCACCTGTAATCTCAGCACTTTGGGAGGCCAAGGTGGGAGGATCATGAGGTCAGGAGGTCGAGACCAGCCTGGCCAACATGTTTAAGCCCCGTTTCTACTGAAAATACAAAAATTAGCTCAGCGTGCTGGTGCACACCTGTAATCCCAGCTACTTTGGAGGCTGAAGCAGGAGAATCGCTTGAACCAGGGAGTCGGAGGTTGCAGTGAGCCGAGATCGCCCCACTGCACTCCAGCCTGGTGACAGAGTGAGACTTCATCTCAAAAATAAATAAATAAATAGTACTTAAATAATTATGTTTCCATAAAAAATAATTATAAAGAAAAGAGAATAAAAAGCAGGATAACATTCATAAAAGAGTAAAAGCATAATAGAAAGACCTGCTCACAAATTTAAAAATATATCCTGGTATTTTAAAATGATCTAAAATTAGTGCCAAAAAAAAAACAAAAACAAAAAAAGAATGAGTTCATGTCCTTTGCACGGACATGGATGAAGCTAGAAGCCATCATTCTCAGCAGATTAACACAGGAACAGAAAACCCAACACTGCATGTTCTCACTCATAAGTGGGAGCTGAACAATGAGAACACATGGACACAGGGAGGGGAACATCACACACTGGGGCTTGTTGGAGGGTGTGGGGCAAGGGGAGGGAGAGCATTAGGACAAATACCTAATGCATGTGGGGCTTAAAACATAGATGAGGGGTTGATGGGTACTGCAAACCACCATGGCACATGTATACCTATGTAACAAATCTGCATGTTCTGCACATGTATCCTAGAACTCAAAGTAAAATTAAAAAAATTAGTGCTAAAAGAATTGAAGCTGTGAAAGAACAAATTAAATCACAAGTCAAAGAAAATAAGAAATGAGGTCAAGAAAGTATTTGAAAGAAAGAGATATAAAAACAATTAAAATTTTTTAAAAAATAGTCATAGATAATTTCATAAGATATATAAAATACGGAAATATGAAATTTTAATATTCTTAAATGAAAAATTCAAATGGATTTGAGTTAAAGTATTAGATATAGCATATGAGACATGATAAATGAACAAACTAAAATAGGATTTTTTCCCCCTACAAAGCAAAACAATTCAACAGAAAGAAATGTAATTTTTAAATGTAACTGAAAAAAAATCTACTGTAAACAAAATTTTGCAGTGTCACAGTTCATACATAAAGTAACACGAAGTGACCCACAGATTGACATATCACAGGAAAAGTAGTGTTTTAGTAGAAAGGGAAAGAAAAAAATAATCTTTGGATATTTAGGCAGACAGGTTACATAATGTACAAAGAAAGGAAAATCAGCTTGTCATCAATCTTTTTGACAATGCTTAAGACCATAAGACAATGAGATAATATATTTAGAATATTCAAGCAAAGAAAAACTAATATTTTATATTTAGTCAAACTGGACGAGATATTTATTAGGACCATACAACACTCAGAAAAAAAAATTTTCTATGATTTTTTTAGAAATACAGCAGGTGAAATATTTCCTACAATTAATGATGAGATTTGTAATTTATTTTAATAGTTGATGATTATCAAATTGTTATAGCATGTTGATTTTTGGATACATTTAAATCATGCTTTAAGACAGGACTATAACAATGAGGTAAGCATTACATAATTTACAGTTATTTAAGGTTTTCAGGAAAAATATTAGATTTCCTCCTAAAATGTGCAGGGGAGTGGAATAATTATTTAAAGCTTTGTGAACTACTTTAAAAAAATTCTGATAGCCTGTGATAGTAGCAGATTGGATAAATTATAAACACAGTTAAAACAGAAGAAAGGAGGTAAACGTAAGGATGTTGCAATTATCTAGGTAGAAACAATGGTGATTATCTTTCTGGAACCTCTGGTAAACATGAAGAAGGTTCAAACTGGAATTTATTTTAAAGAAATAATTAGCGGGATTCAGTGATATAGAGAACATAAAGTATTTTTTAAAGAAGGATGCATCATATATGATTCTAAGTTTTCCAGATAGAGAATCTAGAAAGTTACCTGGAAAAAACTTCATTGACAGAATTGGGTTAGCTGGAAAGCAAATGAGCTTTGGGGATGATGTGGAGGAGGTGAATTTTGCAATAGCGAGTTTGAGGTGACAAGCCTCGAAATGGCAAAGTCTTTATATATGCAAGTTGCAAGTTTGTGGTCGGGACTACAGACATATACATGTGAGGTTATTGTTAGAGAAATAAATGACTCTAGCAATGAGCTTAGATGAAGATTCTGAAAGACCAAATGAAGACAATCCAGATTTCTTTTTTTTTTTTTTTTTTTTTTGAGACGGAGTCTCGCTCTGTTGCCCAGGCTGGAGTGCAGTAGCGTGATCTTGGCTCACTGCAAGCTCCACCTCCCGGGTGCACGCCATTCTCCTGCCTCAGCCTCCCGAGTAGCTGGGACTACAGGCACCCGTCACCATGCCCAGCTAATTTTTTTTTGTATTTTTAGTAGAGATGGGGTTTCACCTTGTTAGCCGGGATGGTCTCTATCTCCTGACCTCGTGATCCGCCCGCCTCAGCCTCCCCAGATTTCTAAGATTAAATAACTTTCTATATTTTACAGCTGGTTGCAGTCTTTTTTTGGCAGTAAGGATTCGCTGAAAGATGGGGTGATGTTAGAGGATATAGTTTCAAAATATCTTTGTCTTTTATTACTCTAAGTAAGTCATTCTTAACAAATGAAATTTTCATGAAGGTTGCTGTGAGCATGTCATATAAAGGCTCAGCTCTCGATTACATTTTAACCTCTCAGCTTACAATACAGTTATCATGGGGTAGATTGTAGAAGTGTATGTGTTGGGGAGGAAGAAAATGCATCCAAGTATATGAAGTAATTTATCTTTGTACATAGATCTAAAACACCAGCAATATTCTTCTACTCCAGCATTGCTTATTTTATAAGAAAAAAATTAGAAAACAGCCTAAGGCTGTGTCAACCCAATGTCAGAATGGATTGATAAATTCAGCATAAGAACAGTAAAGCTATTTATTTTTTTTAAAATTACAGTTGAATTATAATATTTTTTCTCATTTTAGGTAGATTTCTAATGAGCCAAGATACCTAAGTTAATACTATAAAATTTTATCTTATTAATATCTCTGTACATGTCAAACATTGTAGTACTCAAACATATTTTGGTGGGTGGGTTCCATGCTAAATTTTTTTATTATTTGAAATATTCAGACAGTCACACTACAATGACAGCCTATTTTCTGAATCCATGAGCAACTGAGTTTTAGTTGTGACATTATCACCAGTAGAAATATTTGTCTTAAAAAAAGTGAATCATATTACCTAAGAATTTAACCAGAAAATAAATTGCAAAACACCACCATAAAGGAAGGTAGTTTATGAAGTTTTATAATTATACTGGCCAATATGTAGACTCTAAAATCTACCCTCCAGTCGAAGTAAATAGGATTTCAATGGTTATTGAAATTTTGAAGAATTATTTATGAATAACATATCACATTAAGTTGAAGAGATAAGAAAATGAAAATAAATTATACGTTTCCTGAAAATAATTATATTTAATCTCAATTTCAGATATCACTGCTTTATTTTTATTGTTACTGAGAGTATTATAATATAAATCAAGATGTCAGAAAGATATGAGATAGCATGTGGTCGAATAAGAGAAAATGTAAGGAAAATTAATTAACTTCCTCCCAGAGAATGTAATATGACTTGAATAAACCAAGTTTATCTAGCTAGCTATCATCTACTGTCTGCCCATCCCTATCCACCTACTGATGTATTGAATATATTGTATCCCTAAACTTTAAAATGTTATAAAAGCCTATGTGCAAATTGTCTTTCTCTTTAATTTAAAATTAACCTTTATAAGAGTAGAATTACATTTTAATTTTTAAAAATCAGCCTCAAAACTATCTTGGCCTATAACATGCCAAAAATAAAATATTGTCTTAATGTTTCTCTAAAATCTCAGCCTTTATATAACATGCTTTATGTAAGAATGTGTCCAGAAATGTAAGATTTATTATATACATTTTGGCTCCGCAGAATTTATTGCCCATGAATGAGGACTTAGATTTCAGGAAAGCAAGAGTGTGAAGGATGTGGAAGGTGGTGAGAGACATTGTGTTGGTTCAAGTAGGTGATGGATTGAGGAGCAATTGCAAGCTGGAACCTCCTGGTGATGTAAATACCTGGACATAAGTACATATAATTTTCTAAAAAGCTCTCCAGTCACCCTTTCTACTTTTCCATATAGATCAAGATTAATTTTTGTGCATCATTTTTCATTATGGGAGTATCAAACTCAATGGCTTCAGAGACCTACTCTTAATATAAAATGCATTTCATTAATAGGCAGGATAAAGTGGAGATGACTGTAGAGAACTTGGAATTTCAAGATCCACTAAGTGTTAACAGTATATATGAGGGACTAATGTAAGATCTGCAGATTTTTTAACAGAAGTAGGAAGTCTGCATTTCTAAATGAAATAAGCAATTTAAAAAATACTGAATTGTTAAAATTAAATATATGTACGAAAAATAAAATAATAAAGAAATAACAAAATTAATTTAGGGACCACTAATTTTTTTATTATCTGCATTGCAACCTCCATCTTCCATCTTAACAGGTTTTCCTTGTACTCTGAGCAAAGCTCTTTTTTGAGCCAGATATTTTTATTGCTGTATACAAAGAGAAAAACAAATATAGCTTAAGCAATTTCCCCACTTTGTCCCTGATTGTATACATACTACTGGACAAACCTCCCCACGGTTAACATCCATAATTTTTGTTTACCTGAAAATGACTTCAAATTGGTTTAATATTTGTATACTGTTTTCACCAAGTATACAACTCTGGTTGGCATATGTTTTTCCCCTTTTTAAGTAATGTGAAAATGTCATGGCAGCATCATAAAAAATATACACTACATAAAATAGTAAAGAAAGTTGTTTGGACTGAAGAGATTAAACCAGCAATAAAAATATTGATAATGGTATATATGTTGGTAGACATATAGTTGTACTGGTCCATTCTCACGCTGCTATTAATAAATCACTGGGTAATTTATAAAGGAAAGAGGTTTAATTGACTGAGAGTTCTGCAGAGCTGGGGAGGCCTCAGGAAAATTATAATCATGGCAGAAGTGGAAGCAGCACATCCTTCTTCACATGTGGCAGGTAGGAGAAGTACTGAGCAAAGTGGGACAAACCCCTTATAAAACCATCCGATTTCATGAGAACTCACTATCACTGAGAACAGCAGGAGGGTAACCACCCCCATGATTAAATTACCTCCCACTGGGTCCCACAACACGTGGGGATTATGGGAACTACAATTCAAGATGGAGTGGAGACAGAGCCAAACCATATCAAAAATATATTTTCATTAGCTTAATTTTATTCTCCTAAATTTGTTCATTCAAGCAAAAATTCTAACAATGTATTGTAGGTTTCATCAAATATGTAGAAGCTGTATATAAAAAAATAGCACAAAGGAATGGGGGTAAATGAAAATATATTATTGCAGTCTTTTTTGATTTTATGTGATATGGTAAAATATAAACACTAATAGTCAATGATAAGCTTAAAATGCATATTATAATTTCCAGATGTAACACTAAAAAAAAAAATCTAAGAGAGGGTGCAAATGAGAGAAAAATGAGAAAGAAATACATTTTTTTTAAAAAAAGACAGACCTGAATTGAATCATATTAATAATTAAATTGAACCATATTAATAATAAAATAAAGGCTGGGTGTGGTGGTTTAGGTCTGTAGACTCAGCACTTTGGGAAGCCATGAAGCCATGGTGGATCACTTGAGCCCGAGAGCTGGAGACCACTGAGGGCAACATGGCAAGACCCTCTCACTACAAAGATAAAATAATTATATGGAAGCAATGGCACATATCTGTAATCCCAGCTACTGGAATTTTTTGATTTTGGGTATTAACCTAATCTTAAATTCCTGGGATAGATCCCACTTGGTCATGATACATAATAATTTTTATATTTTGCTGAATTTGATTTACTAATATATATTGTGTATATAATACTAATGTATTTTATCTGTATTTATATATTAGTATATACACTAATAATATAATATATTAGTATATATACTAATATATTATATAATATATAATTATATAAATATATATTAGTATATATGCTATTATAGATTTATATATATAATATATGTAAATATATACAATATATAAGTAAATATATACATTGTATTTAACATAATATAAATATGTATTAGTAAATCTATATGCTAATATAGATTATATATTATTTTATATATTAAAAATATACTATATATCATATACTACATATACGGTATATATAATATCAAATATATATTTGATTTCCTAATATATATTATACATAATATATATACTTTTCCTTGAGACATGGTCTGACAATGTCACTCAGGCTGGAGTGCAGTGGCTCCATCATGGTTCACTGCAGCCTTGACCTCTGGGCCCAAGCAATTCTCTTACCTCAGCCTCCTGAGTAGCTAAGACTGCAGGTGTACTAATATTTTTGAAGTATTTTTTATTTGTTTTGTTTTGCCTTTTTTTTTTAAACCTACATTTCTATTATATATAGGTCAGTAGTCTTTTTTGTAATGCATTTGTCTGGTATTGGTAACAAGTTAATATTAATCTCAGAATGAGTTGGTAAGTGTTCTCTCCTTTTCTATTTTTTGAAACAGTTTACATAGAATTGAATTTAATTCCTTAATTTATTTCTAAAATTCACCAGTGAAGCCACTAGACCTGGGATTTTCTTTGTGAAAAGTTTTAAAATCACCAATTTAATCTCTTTAATTTTAAAGTTCTATCCATATTTCCTATTTCTTTTGACTCGGTTTTGATAGCATTTTAATTCCTAGACAGGAGTCAGTTTTATCTAGGTGAACTAATATGTTGGCATATAGTTACTCACAGTTTTACTTATAATTATTTTTATTTCTTTAAGTTCTGAAATGATATCCTCTCCTTCATTTTTAATTTTTAGTAATTTGAACATTCTTTTGTAAGTCTAAATAAAGTTTTGTCACCATTGTTGATCTTTTCAAATAACCAACTCTGGAATTTTCTGATTCATTCTATTATTTTCCTATGCAAAATTTTATTTATTCCGCTTAACTTTTTGTCTGTTTGTTTCCTTCCTCCTGGCCATTCAGAGTTTATTCTTTCTATTTTCTTGGGGTGGAAGTTTAGGTTATTAATTTGAAATCATTCTTTCATTCTTTTTTATCATAGGCATTTGTAGTTATAAGTTTTCCTCTAAACAATACTTAGAAAAATAGATCAGTGAAACATAACAGAAAGTCCAAAAATTGATTCACATTTTATGATAAATGGATTATTTTTGAAGTCACTAAAGGAATTCAGTGGAGGGAGATAGGAATGTCTTTCTGATATGAGGCTGGATAAAGTAGATATGCGAAGGAACAAAAATGAATCTTTATGGCTCACATCAGAAACATACACAACATACACACACAACATACACACACACACACAAATAATTAGAAATGTATTATAGACTTACATGAAAAAGATGCATAAAAAGCTTTTAAGTGACAAAAGCAGATTATTTTGACATCTGTAATAGAAGCATATTTCTTACTTAGAACACATAAATAGTGAAGGAAACAATGATAGATTAGACCTAATCAAATTTAGAAACATGTTTTTATTATATGACAGTGTTAAAAAATATAAAACACATATTAGAACAAAGCATGTGTTCAGAATATATAATATCCTATATAAATTAAAACTAAGAATAAATATATAACAAAGGATTGGCAATACATTTAAACAAACAATTCACAAAGGAAGCAAAATAAAGGGCCAGTGTGCATATAAAAAGTGTTCAATATCATGAATCGCTGGGCATATGCAAATGAAAATCACATGAGACATACTCAAATGGGACAACTTTACATTCTGGCAACATTAAATGTTGGCAAGGATGTGGATTAGTAACTCTCATATATTACTAGTGGGACCTTCTTCGATGGAACCTCTGACACATTATTTGGCACATTCTTCTGAACTTAAACAAACACATATTCTAAGACCTACTATTCCACTTACAGTCTTTATTTAAGATGAATAAACTATAAAATCAGAAAAACGCTTTCATAACAATTCTATTTATATTTGCTAGAATATGAAAACATTATAAGGGCTGATCAACAGGAGCCAGATATTTTTACTATTGAGAAAGGGAATTATAAATACAGAAAGGGAAAATAATGCTTAATGAAAGCATTAAGAGTCCAAATCTCAGTTTCTAAATGCCAATTTCCACAAAAGCAATTAAAGTTCCTTGAAGAAATGACTAATTCCTATAAGAAGAATAAAAAATGATCCAAAGACATAGTGATGTGTCAGAAAGAAAGTATCAAAATCATGGGGACTTCTCAGATGTTCCCAGGAATCAGCTTGCTGGGCTTTACACTGGCCAAATCTGAACAATTTGAGCATCAAAATATTTACTAAATTATGTCTTATTCAATGAAAAAGAAATCATTTAGCCTACACTGATATAAATAAATGAATAAGCACATAAATAAATGCAAACAATGGAAAAGCACTTCCTTATAAAACAAGGACAAAGTGAAGTCATACGGAAGGAATGAAGGTGTTAGAAAATTATCAGTAGATGATAAAAATACTAGATACATTTTGCTGAAGTTAGTTCCAGTTTCATCTCTGCTATGTAAAAATCCTGAAAGTTGTCATTTTCATCTTTATATCAAGACAAAGCTGGGTGAACTGGTCAAAAACTTTTCTAGGAAATATCAGAAAACTGGTGTATAAAAGGAAAAACTGCTACTCCAAAACCTGGACATTTAAATCTACAGATACAGACGAGATCTGCTTAGTTGCAGTAGAAGCCATAAACTAGTAGGAACTCAGAAGCCATAAACTGGTAGAAATGGTAATTTTGATAAATTGCTGGAGGCTGAGTGTGAATAAACATGAGAGTGTAAAATTCCTGAGGGCTAAAGTTTTACAGGGGAGCCCATCACATTCATGGGATTTACCTACAGAAACTTCACTAATTTCTTACAAATGAGATCCAGGAAAAATTCCCCTTCTGGTTGTGGCAAGCAGAGGAGAAGAGTAACCATTGAAATAAACCCAGAGACTTCACAATAAGAACTACTATGTGCAGAGAATTTTTTTTTGCCAGAGCATTATCCCAGATGAGGAATGGAAATTCGTTTTACTCCAGGTCTCTCCCACCAGCCTTTCCGTTTCATTAAGGAAGAAAAAAAAAACTGTCAAAAACTGTCAGGTGCTTCTCAAAAGAAAACATACAAACAGCCAACAGACATATGTAAAAATGTTCCCATGTATGTAAAAATGCTCCCACATCATGAATCATCATAGAAATACATATCAAAACCACAATAAGATACCCTCTTACACCAGTCAGAATGGCTCTTATTAAAAAGCCAAAAAACAACAGAGGCTGGCAAGGCTGCAAACAAAAGGGAATACATACACTGTTGGTGGGAATGTAAATTAGTTCAGCCTCTGTTGAAAGCAGTTTGGAGATTTTTCAAATAACTTAAAACAGAACTAATACCATTCAACCCAGTAATTCCACTACTGGGTACATAGCCACCCAAAGGAAAATATATCAGTCTACCAAAACAACACATGACTCCTATGTTCATCGCAGCACAATTCAAAATAGCAAGGCCATGGAATCAACCTAAGTGCCCTTTGATGGTGGATTGCATTAAGAAATGTAGTAAATATATAATATGGAATACTACACAGCGATAAAAAAGAATGAAATTATAGCCTTTGTGGCAAAAATGGATGGAGTTGGAGGCCATTATTCTAAGTGAATTAATGAAGAAGCAGAAAGTGAAATATCACATGTTCTCACTTATAAAAGTGGGAGCTAAATTTCAGCTATGTGTGGACATAAAGATGGGAACAAGAGATACTGGGGACTAGTAGAGAGGGTAGAGGGAGAGGGTGGAAAGGGTTGCAAAATTCTCTTTTGGTACTATGCTCACTACCTGGGTGATGGGATCAATCATATCCCAAACATCAGCATCACACAATATGCCCATGTAACAAACTTGCACATGTATCCCCTGAATCCAAAATAGAAACTGAAATTAGAAAAAAAGAAAAACAAAACAAAAAACAGCTGTCAGGGTTGTCATAAATAGACTACAAATATTTCAGCCAGGGAAATAAGTAGATGGCAAGGAAAAAGGAATTTATACTCGTGAAAAAATACGAACAATTGTGAATGTTAGATCTGAGAGACACAGATCATCTAAAAGTTGGATATTTAATCAGAAGATGATAAAATGCCTTTTAATCCCCTTTCCACTGCAACAGGGCCCCATGAGAGTAACAGTGGATTACAGGTAAAAAAAGTGGCATGTCATGGACTCTCTCTGATGAACAGTATTTAGTTAAGGATAAAGTCAAGAGGAGAAATATAAAAACAGACCATAGAGTAATTTAAAGCCTCTGGCATCTATAGATATAGCAAATATTAACACAATCCACTTCTAGGCAGGTTACCATAAATCCTAACACTAAAGGCCTACTTATCTCAGTTCTTATTAACTGATCATATCCCTGCATTTCAACCAAAAATTATAAGATATACCAACCAAAACAGAGACACACATAAAACAAAGAAACAAAAATCCCTCGTCTGAAGAGAAAACAATCATTAGAATTGGATATGACACAGATTTTGGAATTATTAGATAATTTAAAATAACTATAATTAATATGTTGTTTTAATAAAAAAATTAAGCAACAAACAAAAACAAGTAGGTAAAGTAAGCAGAGAGATAAAAAATGTAAGATCAAAATAAAATACTAGAAGTAAAAAGCAATGTAACAAGATTAAAAATGCTCATGATGTGCTTATGAGCAGAATTAAAAACAAAAACAAAACAGCATCAAAGAACACTGGGGCAGTTCCAAGCTATGTAACATATGTGTAATTGGATTACCTGAAGAGAAAAAAGAAAACAGCAGAAAAAATATTTGAAGTAATAATGGCTAAGTACTTTCCAAAGTTAATGATAAACACCGGACCATACATAAAAGGAGGCTGAGAAAACACTAACCAGAAAAAATACTTCTCCCCCCGAAAAAAAACACGTTAGCCTATCATGTTCAAAAGAGCGAGAGACAGAGAGAGAGAGAGAGAGACAGAGAGAGAGAAAGATAAAAATCTTAAATGAAGCCAGAAGAGAGAAGAAGGAACTTTTAGTATAAAGGATAACATAAAAATTACAGTGGACATGTGAGAAATCAGACTAGTGGAATAAATATTTAAAGTGTTAAAAGAAAAAGTATATAATAATTTATCTCACATTAAAGCAAATGAGGAAAATAAAAAATATATAAGTCTAGGTAAAGAGCCTATAGGAGTTTCTTGTATTATTCCTATACTTTTTGGAAGTTTAAAACCGTACCAAAAAGATTAAAACTAAATCAACATAAAGAGTTACTGAAAATAAAGTAATGTTTCCAACTCATAATCCTTTAGAATTAGAGATAAAGGAATGTAGAGATCTAATATGTTTCCAGAAGATTTCCCTTATGTAAGGAATAGGAAAATGCAAGTTAAGTAATAATGTCAGGTGAAGTCACTGCTGAGGTGAGAAGCACCTTGGCTAGAATCATGGCAAAGTGAAAAAGAGGTTTACATTGGGAATTTTCTTTCCAACTGAGCTTATCTTTTTCTTGACACTAACAAGTCTTGATGTAGACATAGCCTACGACACCCTAGGAGCAAAATAAGACATAGCATTTTAGTTAAATTCAGATAATTCTATTCTGATAAAAAAGACGAACAAGAGAAAAATGCAAAATGTTAGGAAAGTTGGAAAGTTTCTCTGTCTACTAGATCATTCAGCATAATATAAGGCACTGTGAAATGATGATCCTTAATATTAGCAAAAAGTTTTATTATGTTTACCTTCATCAAGCGATGAGATTAATTTATCTATTCCATATGTACATAATCAGTAGTAGTTATGTAAATATAAAATGTAAATTACAGTACCACATTTATTTTAGATAACTTTTGATACATAGTCAAAATCTAAGCAATAAGGGTGCTTGTCAGGCAAAATAAGTTAAAGTTGTTAATATTTAAAGTTTGCATAAAGGAAAGTTTCTGTAAGTGATAATTCCTGTTTTCAATTCATTTTGTAACTGTTTATATAATCAAGAAACCTGTTAGTATGAGCCAAAGAACAGTTTATTCATGCAACATAAATTATTTCTGGGCTACTCCATGCTTTTTCCTCTGCCATACCTATTAGAGCTAATTGGTGTAATTCATGTATTACTGGGAATCCTATGAGCCTACAAATAACATTGTAATTATCACTCCAAATTTTCAAAAAACTTTATCAAATCTGAAAACCTCCCACAATTCTGTATTAGTATCTAACTGTATGTTGGTTGTCTTTATCATGATCTTAAAGGAGGAGAACACATTTAATTGAAAGAATGTAATTAGCCCATTAATTACTGACATTTTTCTCAGTTAGCAGTTTTTCCATATGTAGTCAATAAGCGTATTGTGAATATCAGTAGAAGTTACCAAAATATCTCAGAACAGATATCAAGAAAACCCAATGAAGAAAATTTGGCTGCTATTAGTTTATGAAGTGGTAGTGCATTTATTTTTATAAATATAATTGTTCTTTCTTAAGAAATCTCTATACAAGTTTTTAAACTCTACCCAAAAAGTGGTCATTTTTAATTGATCTTTGTATTTCTGGCATTTAGCACAATGTCTGGCACAATGTACCTTATACACAAAATAATGGAAGGTAAGAAAGGAAAAAGAGTGGGAGAAGGAGGAAGAGAAGTTAGCAGAGTACAAAGGTAGGCCTTCTGAAGACAGATAAACTAAAACTTATTTTTTTTGTGGAAGAATTTTGGATGGAAATAGCATAAATATTCCAAGGAGTATTTGGTAAGTAGAATGCTTTAATTCAAGGTAAAAACAAGAACAATGTGATTTTCAGACTTCATCTGAAGTAAGGTGTGTAGATAGGCAAAGTTATTTGTTTTTGTAGTTTAGTATTGATTTACAGACGATTTGTAATGTATGAAAGATCCATAGGCTTCAGAAAGTAGTAAGGTCAATGAGCTGTCATTGTTTTCTTTTTCAGAATTTTCTTAGCTGTTCTTGGAAGGCACTCAAATATACCAGTCAAGAGTGTCAGGTTGGAAACCAGCTTACCTCCAACCATTTCCAGACACTTGACACTGTGAGTTAGGGGTTAGTGTTTCTCTTGTTTAGCATAGGTAGAATGGAACCAATCTACATCCATATCCAAACCGTCACTGGATTGTCAAAATTGTTTTTAGTTTCTACTAATATATTTGGTGTATAGGTTGTGATTTTTCCCAGAATTAGTAAAAACTATTCTAAATTCATATAGGACCAAAAATGATCTTGAAAAGCCAAAGCAATCCTAAGCAAAAAGAACAAAGCTGAAGGCATCACATTACCTGAATTCAAACTATACTACAAGGCTACACTAACCAAAACAGCATGGTACTGGTAAAAAACAGACACATAGACCAATGGAACAGAAAACAGAATCCAGAAATAAAGCCACACACCTAAAACTATCTGATCTTCAACACAATTGGCAAAAATAAGCAATGGAGAAATGACTGCCTATTCAATAAATGGTGCTGGGATAGCTGGCTAGCCATATGCAGAAGCATGAAGCTGGACCCATACACTTCACCATATACAAAAATTAAGATGGATTAAAAATTTAAATATAAGACCACAAACTCTAACAATCCTAGAAGAAAATCTAGGAAACACCATTCTGGTCATTGGCCTCAGGAAGGAATTTATGGCTAAGTCCTCAAAAGCAAATGCAACAAAAACAAAAATTGACAAATGGGACCTAATTAAACTAAAGAGTTACTGAAGAGCGAAATAAACTATCAACAGAGTAAACAGACAGTGACAGAATGGGATAAAATATTTGCAAACTATGCAGCTGATAAACATCTAATATCCAGAATCTGTAAAGAACTTAAACAAATCAATAAGCAAAAAACAAGTCACCTCATTAAAAAGTGGGTCAAAGACATAAACAGACACTTCTCAAAAGACATACAAGCAGCCAACAAGCATATAAAAAATGTTCAACATCACTAATTATCAGATAAATGCAAATCAAAATCAGCATGAGATATCATCTCATACCAGTCAGGATGGCTTTTGTTAAAAAGTTAAGAAAAATAACCAATGTTGGCGAGGCTGCAGAGAAAAAGGAACACTTAAACACTGTTCGTGAGAGTGTAAATTAGTCCAGCCACTATGGAAAGCAGTTTGGAGATTCCTTAGAGAACTGAGAGTTGAACTACCATTCAACCCAGCAATCCCACTACTGGGTATATATCCAAAGGAAAATAAACTGTTTTACCCAAAGGACACAGGCACCTGTATATTCGTCGCAGCACTATTTACAATAGCAAAAACATGGAATTAACCTAGGTACCCATCAACAGTTGATTAGATAAAGAAAATGTGGTATATATACACTATGGAATACTACACAACCATAAAGAAGAATAAAATCATGTCCTTTGCAGCAACATGGATACAGCTGGAGGCCATTATCCTAAGCGAACTAACACAGAAACAGAAAACCAAAGACCACGTATTCTCACTGGGAGCCAAACATTGAGTACACATGGACATAAAGATAGGAACAAGAGACACTAGACTACTCGTGGGGAGAAAGGGAGAGGTGGGGAGAGAGGGAGAGGAGGAAAAGGGCTGAATGACTACCTATTAGGTACTATGCTCACTACCAGGGTGACAGGTTTAATCATACCCCAAACCTCAGCATCATGTGATATACCTTTTTCACAAACCTGCACATGTACCCTCTGTTTCTAAAATAAAAGTTGAAAAAAAAAAAAGATGTCTCCTTGAAATACTCATTTGTGTTTACCTGAAGTCAATGAGATGAAGTACTTTTTCATTTGTTGTTGTCTATTTCGTCTTTTATGAAGCTCGCATTGAGGTCCTTTGTCTATTTCCATCTAGTTGTTTTCTTACATTTTGATTCAAATATCTGCTTTTTGTTTGAGGTTTAAAAATTGATCACTCAGCTCAATTATTTTAAAAATTAGTTGATTTTTTATCTTAAATAAAAATAAATATGAATTACTTTTAAAGTACCATTATCACAAATATTTTGCCACTTGAGCTCTAAATAGATCCCATATTCTATAATAATTTTCTTATTAACCTATATAATATTGAAAAATAGACTTTTAACTAACTTTTCACTGTTGGATTATAGTTTGTGTTATCAGAAAATATGATTTGTATAATACATGTTCTGTGGAATCCATAGATGCTTCCTTTACTGATTAGAAAATAGAGAAATTTGGTAAATACTTCATGTGTGCTTGACAAGAATGCATTTACCCTATTTTAGGGGTGCAGAGTACTTCACATATTTTTTTCAAATTAAGCATGTTAATTGTGTTCTTCAGTCTTCTGAGCCAGGTGTGGTGGCTCATGTTTGTAATCCCAGTAATTTGGGAGGCCAAGGCAGGTGGATCACTTAATCCCAGGAGTTAGAGACCAGCCTGGTCAACATGGCAAAACCCCGTTTCTATGAAAAAATACAAACAATTAGCCAGGTGTGGAGGCATGTGCCTGTGGTCCCACTATTTGGGAGGCTGAGGTGAGAGTGAGCTCCCTTGAACCTGGGAGGTTGAGGCTGCAGTGAGCTATGATCACGCCGCTGCACTCCAGCCTGGGTGACAGTGTGAGACCTTGTCTCAAAAATCAAAAACAACAACAAAAAAATCTTCATTATGTTGTTACATTTTTGCATCTACTTGCTTTACTAGTTTTTTGAGATTTTTGACATGCTGAAATATCTGTATATAATCATAGACCTTTTTGCTTCTTATAATTCTTTCTTTTAAAAAAGTGAGCATATGCTGTTAAAACATCAAACATTCATAACCATTTCATATTTAGATTAGATTGTTTTTTATCATTGTGTAATGACTTCTTTGTACTATGAATAAGTTAAGCCAAAAACCTAATTTGTCAAAAACAATATTCCTGCCTGTTTTTTTAAAACTATTTTTAAGGCAAATTTTTAATTTCCAATTTGTAAACATTCACTGTGATTTTGTTGTCCTTTTGAAAGTAAACTTCTTATAAGTAATAATGATTTTTAATATACTCTATAATTTATTTACAGTTCTTTGATAGCTAATATATTTCGACTTATTTCTACTATATTTTCTACGCATTCTTTGCCTTTTTCACCAACATCCTTGCCTCATTTTGGATTTTATTAAGACATTTCCTCCCTCCCCTTTTTATTCTCCCACGGTTGTAAAGTTGCATCATGGATTCGCTTATTTTTCAGCTTATCATTCATTTGTTAGCAAGTGTATTTAATATCCTGTTTTTCTAACTGTGGTATATTGTGGCAGAATGCTTCTTCGTTTGTTCACCCCTCCCTGTAGTCTCTTCTGACAGTGGCTCTAGGCATGAATTGTGACTTGTTTGGGCTTATTGAACTACAGCAAATACGATCCAAGAGGAGGCTTAAAAAATCTCTCTCTACTGGGGCTTGTTCTCTTTTGCTGCTGAGAAACATTTTGCTTCCATGTGAATTAGCTCATGCTATTCCCTTAGAAGATAATAGATCATGCAGAGTCCCCAGATATTCCAGCAGAGAAGTGAGAGGAAGGCTTTCCTTGACCCGGCATTCCAGTCAAGCCAGCTTGGACCACAGAAATTGCAAAACACATCCATAGAAAATGAAAGCCATTTTAGTCTCACTCTCATCTATCTGTCAAACAGGATAAAAATGTCTTAGAATGTTTTGTTCAATTTCCAATCCACTTCCCTCAATTCTATGTTTTAATTACTGCTACTTAGTATTTCTTTTTTTAAGTTAAAATATTACAAATATATTTCAATTGTCAACTAATTAGTCCAAATATTTTACTGAAATGTTGCTCACCATTTCTTTTTTCTTTCTTTTTTTCTTTTCTTTTCTTTTTTTTTTTTTTTTTCTAAAATGGAGTCTCACTCTGTCACCCAGGCTGGAATGCAGTGGCACGATCTCAGCTCACTGCAACCTTCTGGGTTCAAGCGATTCTCCTGCCTCAGCCTCCTGAGTAGCTGGGACTACGTAGGCACGCCACCACATCCGAGTAATTTTTGTATTTTTTTTAGTAGAGACAGGGTTTTGCCATGTTGGCCAGGCTTTTCTCGAACTCCCGACCTCAAGCAATCCTCCCACCTCAGCCTCCTAAAGTGCTGGGATTACAGGCATGAGCCACCGGTGCCTGGCCTCACTATTTCTTCTTGAATCTTACTTCTTCTCAGAAAATTTTTGGTTTACCTGAAGAACAAATTTTAATGTCTTTTTTCAATGGTGATTTGTGTGTTGAGTACTCATATATTTACTTTTATTTCAGTATTGGAGAAAAAATTATATATAAATATACTAATAATTTATATAAAATGTATATAATTATATGTAATTTTACCAGGATATAGAAGTCTAAACATTTTCCCTTGTACTACAAATGGCTATTTACTTTTTACTTCCTCGTTGTGGATGACAAGTTTGCTGTCAAATTGTCACTTTTTTACGTAAGTATTTGTATCTTTCTCTCTGGTAGCTTCTGAGGTTTTCAATTTTTTCCTGATGTTATAAAACTTCATAGTGACATACACACATGTTGCCTTATTTTTATTTATCTTTCTTGGAATTAGATACAATTTTGTCTATCTAAGGACCATGTCTTTTTGAATCGTAAAACTCCATTTTATCTAATCTTGTGTCTCTGCTATTCCTTCTAGTCTCTAATTCTGATTCCTCATTCAGGTGCGTTTTGGTGATTTTCAATTTATTCTTTTTGTTTCCTAACTTATTTTTTATATTGTTCATGTCATTAATGTTTTTGTGGCATTTTATCAATTCCTGAGTACACTATTTTGATTATTTCTCTCTTTACATGAAGTCATTATAACATGCACTGTTTAAGAGTTTTCTATTTTTATTTTAATATCTACTTTATCTCCCAAAATTGTTATTTTTTTCTACTTATCATTGATTTATATCTACATATATTTGTTTTATAACTTTTTTGGATTATTAAAGAAATATTATTTCCTTTTTAAGTATTTAAAATATATTGGCTTTAAATTATTTTTAGAAGATTATTCTAATATATGTCTTTTCACAAATGACAGCGAATTCTCCCAATAGATGATTATCTCATGACATAGCTTTTCTTATTTGTTTGAAACTGATTTTTTTCAAGCTTATTATGAAAAAGAGAGGCTGAGTATAGATGTCTATGTTGGTACCTGTTGGACTCCTTGGATCTCACCTGAGTTCCTAGTCAGAACCAGATCTTGCGTTGGTAGCATAGACTCATTTTCTTATGCATATAATTCAGATCATTTGCTGGAACCATTGGGTAGCTTGATGTAGGACATGATTAAGGGTTTTCTCTAATTCTTAACAGATATCTAATAAGCTTGTAGGTAGAGGCCATAGACAGCATATGATAACATGTATTTTAGTCTCTAATCATGAGAAAGAGATTCTTACAGTATCCCTTCACCCTGAATTCCAGGGCTATTCCTCTAACTTATTTTTAAAAAATTCTCTAGTGCATTTTAAAAAAATTCTCTATCTGTTTCTGATCTGTATTAGGGTTCTCTGGAGGGACATAACTAATATGTTGTATGTATATATAAAAAGGAGTTTGTTAAGGATAATTGATTTACAAAATCATAAGGTAAAATCCCATGATAGGCCAGGCCATCTGCAAGTTGAGGAGCAAAGGAGCCAGCGGTGGATCAGTCTGAGTGCCAAAACCTCAAAAGTAGGGATGCCAACAGTGCAGCCTTCAGTCTGTTGCCAAAGGCCCAAGAGCTCCTGGCAAACCACTGATGTAAGTCCAAGAGTCCAAAAGCTGAAGAACTTGGAGTCTGATATTCGAGAGCAGGAAGCATCCAGCATGGGAGAAAGATGAAGGCTGGAAGATTCAGCAAGTCTGCTCTTCCATTTTCTGCTTGCTTTATTTTAGCAGTGCTATCAACTGATTAGATGGTACCTACCCAGATCGAGGGTGGGTCTGCCTCTCCCAGTCTACTGACTCAAATGTTAATCTCCTTTGGCAACACCCTCATGCACACATCCAGGAACAATACTTTAAATCCTTAGACCTAAAACCATAAAAACCCTAGAAGAAAACCTAGGCAATACCATTCAGGACATAGGCATGGGCAAGGACTTCATGTCTAAAACACCAAAAGCAATGGCAACAAAAGCCAAAATTGACAGATGGGATCTAATTAAACTAAAGAGCTTCTGCACAGCAAAAGAAACTACCATCAGAGTGAACAGGCAACCTACAGAATGGGAGAAAATTTTTGCAATCTACTCATCTGACAAAGGGCTAACATCCAGAATCTACAATGAACTCCAACAAATTTACAAGAAAAAAAAAAACAACCCCATCAAAAAGTGGGTGAAAGATATGAATAGACACTTTTCAAAAGAAGACATTCATGCAGCCAACAGACACATGAAAAAATGCTCATCATCACTGGCCATCAGAGAAATGCAAATCAAAACCACAATGAGATACCATCTCACACCAGTTAGAATGGCGATCATTAAAAAGTCAGGAAACAACAGGTGCTGGAGAGGATGTGGAGAAATAGGAACACTTTTACACTGTTGATGGGAGTGTAAACTAGTTCAACCATTGTGGAAGTCAGTGTGGAGATTCCTCAGGGATCTAGAACTAGAAATACCATTTGACCCAG